>NW_025791807.1:166877-333754 GCF_000001405.40 Homo sapiens
GTGGCTCAAGCCTGTAATCCCAGTACTTTGGGAGGCCAAGGCAAGGTGGAGTAGAAGGTCAAGAGATTGAGACCATCCTGACCAACATGGTGAAACCCTGTCTCTACTAAAAATACAAAAATTAGCTGGGTGTGGTGGCATGCACCTGTAGTCCCAGCTACTCAGGAGGCTGAGGCAGGAGAATTGCTTGAATCCGGGAGGCGGAGGTTGCAGTGAGCTGAGATCATGCCACTGCACCTCAGCCTGGTGACAGAGCGAGACTCCATCTCAAAAAAAAAAAAAAAAAAAAAAAGATACCATGAAGTCCGGAAATTAGTCATCCCATGTAGAGCACAGGACCAAATTTTCAATTGCCTGACAGTGAGTGTGACCTCAAGCCAGTGATTACAGGCTGCTCAGCAAGGAGGAAGAGCCTCCAACCACATCACAGCTGCTCACCATTGACATAGAGACTGTTCCGGTCCAGGGTGTAGGGGCCCAGCTCCTGGATGCCATTTGTCAGATTGCTCAGCTCCCAGTACAGTCGCTCTCTGTCCAGTCCGAGGTCTTCAGGGTCAGGGCGATGTGTGCAGATGGCATCCACTGCCGTGGCTGAGCTATCCTTCTCTGGCCTGGGTAAGAACCTACATATGCTTAGTCCATCCACCTCTCCATCCTTTTGTCCTTCCTTTCCACTCTTTGTCAACCCCTAATGCAGACTCTGAGAAAATTGTGGTTAACAAGAATGTGGCTCTCAGGCTAGGCATGGTGGCTCATGCCTGTAATCCCAACACTTTGGGAGGCCAAGGCAGGTGGATCATGAGGTCAAGAGATTGAGACCATCCTGGCTAACATGGTGAAACCCCGTCTCAACTAAAAATACAAAAATTAGCTGGGCATGGTGGTACGTGCCTGCAGTCCCAGCTACTTGGGAGGCTGAGGCAGGAGAATTGCTTGAACCTAGGAGCCAAAGGTTACAGTGAGCCGAGATCGCGCCACTGCACTCCAGTCTGGGCAACAGAGTGAGACTCTATCTCAAAAAAAAAAAAAAAAAAAAAAAAGAATGTGGTTCTCATCAGAGAGATGCCCACCATAAACAAATTACTAGGATTATTAGTGGAAGCAGAAAGCATTACCATGGCAGAAATGCCAAGAGGTGACACTTTTATAGGGTTTGCTGCATGTAGGCTTGAGCTGTCTGTCTTTGGAACCGGGGCAGAGGGGAGCTTGAATAACTTCTGGCCTTCCCAGCTGCTTTGCTCAAGAGGAGGGCTTATGGGTTTATGAGGAGGGGCAGCTCCTGCTTTGCTTGGTGTAGGATCCTAGGATAATAATGCCAGGGATCTGCATGGCCCCGAATAAGCCTCCTGAAGTACTAGGTGTGCGACAGCTATACTTAGGGTTAATCTGTAATCCATGGCAGTGGCCCTTGTACTGGTGCACGTAGCAGTGGCCCTCCTACTGGTGCCCATGGCATGGCGTTTTCAAATGGTGGGATCAGAAGGTTCAAGTCATCCTCTCTAGATCCTATGGACCAGCAGGGCTAGGAGATTTGTTATGAGACTCAAGGGAGCTAAATGGCTTGGGGAAAATGCCCTTTTTGGCTGGTCCGTCTGAAACTGTGGCTGGTCCAACATGCAGTCAGAAGGTCTTCATGTCTCAGCACCTGTTCCCGGCCACAGGATGTGGACTCACCTACCTAGCCACCCACTATTGAGTGATTAGAGGGAAACGGGCTCTTTCCCTATGTCCCAGGGTTGTGAGTAGCTCTATAGTAGGAACGACTTTATAGTAACAACTACCATTTATTAAATACTTCCTATGCAGCAGGCCCAGCATTTTGTATTCATAATCACATATTTTCATCCTCAAACATCCCTATGGGTTGGTACTGCTCAATTCCCCAAGTCAGTACTATACTAATTATATTATGTATAACACAATTGTATATAACATAAAATATATAAAATGTAGATCTGTAAATATAAACTTAATATAGAAATATATGATATCGTTTTGCATTTTATACATTACTATATTATATAGTATATACAATATATATTATTATACCTCTACCTAACATATATTAAACTGGTTTATATATAACTATTTTATATAATTATATAACTCTATAACTATTATATAACTATTTTTTATATAACTACCATATACCTCTACTTAACATATATTAAACTGGTTTATATATAACTATTGTATATAACTATATAACTATTTTTATATAACTACCATGTACATTTAGATGCTTCTTGACTCATGATGGTATTATGTCCTGATAAACACAGGTTTTTTATTTTATTTTTTTGTTTTTGCTTTCTTTTGTTTTTGGAGATGGAGTCTCACTCTGTTGCCCAGGCTGGAGTTCAATGGTGTGATCTTGGCTCACTGCAACCTCTGCCTCCCAGGTTCAATCCATTCTCCTGCCTCAGCCTCCCGAGTAGCTGGGACTACAGGTACCCACCACCACATCCAGCTAATTTTTGTATTTTTAGTAGAGATGGGTTTTCTCCATGTTTGCCAAGCTGATCGTGAACTACTGACCTCAGGTGATAAACCTGCCTCAGCTTCCCAAACTGCTGGGATTACAGGCATGAGCCATGCACCCAGCCTGTTTTTTGTTTTTTGGAGACAAGAGTCTTGCTCTGTCATCCAGGCTGGAGTGCGGTGGTGTGATCTTGACTCACTGTAACTTCCATCTCCTAAGTTCAAGTGATTCTCACGCTTCAGTCTCCCGAGTAGCTGGAACTACAGTTGTCACACCACGCCTGGCTAATTTTTGTATTTTTAGTAGAGACAAGATTTTGCCATTTGGACAGCCTGGTCTCAAACTCCTGGCCTCAAGTGATCCACCTGCCTCAGCCTCCCAAAGTGCTGGGATGACAGGTGTGAGCCATCATGCCCAGCCCTGACAAATCCATTGTGAACTGAAAATGTCATAAGTCAAAAATGCCCTGTAGCCGGGCGTGATGGCTCACACCTGTAATCCCAGGATTTTGGGAGGCCAAGGTGGGAGGATTCCTTGAGCCCAGGAGTTCAAGGCCACCTGGGCAACATGGCAAGACCCTCCTCTCCACAAAAAAAAAAAAATTAAAAAAAAAATAGCCAGGTGTGGTGGCACACACCTGTAGTCCCAGCTACTCAGGAGGCTGAGGTAGGAGGATCACTTGAGCCCAGGAGTTCAAGGCTGCAGTGAGCTATGATCGCACCAGTGCATTCCAGTCTGGGTGACAGAGCAAGACTCTGTCTCAAAAATAAAAATAAAAATAAAAATCGACTATACCTAACCTACAGAACATGATAGGTTAGCCTATCCTACCTTAAACATGCTCTGAACCCTTACATTAGCCTACATGTGGGCAAAATCACCTAACACAAAGCCTATTTTATAATAAACTGTTGAATATCTCATATAATTTATTGAATATTGTACTGAAAGTGAATGACAGAATGGTTGCATGGGTGTTGAAGGTATGCTTTCTACTGAATGCATATTGCTATGGCATTATCACAAAGTTTGAAAAATCATAAGTTGAATCATTGTAATTCATGGACTGTTTATATATAGAATATATACTAGGTATATGTAGAAGTTGTATGTATCCACATGTATACTATATATAATATATATTTAAATATTACATGTATTTATACTTATATACTTTAATATATTATATATACACATTATATTATACATGATATACGTTATATGTAATATATATAATATGTCATATTATAACATATGTTATATGTTAATGTCAGATATGTTATATACATCACATACACATATATGTTATATACATTATATATAACATATAAGTTATACATATGTTATGTATGTATATATTACATTATATATAACAATACATAATGTATATGTTATATGTTGCATATAATACGTAACAAATACAATGTATGCATTATATATAACAATTATGTATAATATAATTATATATAATATATCATATATAACATACATTATATGTAACATAATGTATATTAAACTGATTTATAAAATATTATGTATATGTTACATATGACAGTATAAGTTATAACATATAATATTGTTATATTATAACATATATTATGTTATAACATATAATATTGTTATATCATATGTTATATGTTAATGTCAGATATGTTATGTACATCACACATACACATATATGTTATATACATTATGTATAACATAAAAGTTATACATATGTTATATATGTATATATTATATTATATATAACAATATATAATGTATGTTATATGTTGTATATAATATATAACAATTATATAATTATATATAACAACTATATATTATATATAATTATATATAACAGTTTTATATAATATATAATTATATATAATATATCATATATAACATATACATTATATGTAACATAATGTATGTGTTATATATAACTTGTACTATATATGCTATAACATATATAACATGTATACAATATAACAATATGTATAATATATACATTATATATAACATATGTTATATACGTATATAACATATGCATATAAAAATGTGTCTATAAACATGTTTATAAAATATGCCTCAATATGTATATAAAATATGTCTATATATAATATATGTATTTTATATATATAATATGTCAGGAAATAGGGCACAGAAGGCTTCAGGCACTTGCTCAGAGTCACAGATAGTAAATGGCAGAGCTGGGTTGGTTCAGAACTGAGGTCTGCCTGAGTTCACCAATGCTCTTAGCCACTAGGGCCCCCCTGTCCCCTCTTCCCCCTGGGAAGGAAAGGAAGCTGGAGGTAGATGACTGACACTCTCTCTTGGGAGAGCCACACTTGGAGATTCTGTGAGAGAGGTGTGGAAGGTGAGAATGCCAGGCAGGAAATGATATCAACCGCTGTCTACCCTAAAAGACCTGCCCTTTCCAGCACTCAGGGACAGTGCCCTCGGTGCCTCTCAGTCACCCTCAGACCGGCCAGGCCCTCTGTGGCTGCATCTGAGCCACTCAGGAGCTGACCTCCTGCCTGTAAGGGCTGAACGCCTTCCTTTCCTCCCCTCTTAGATTCTCTGGGCAAGTTCCCTTAGAGGGAAGTCAGATTGGGGTTTTCCACATGCTGCAAGTTCATAATGGGGGCAGAGGAGGAAGTGCCACCTAAGGGATAGGAGTTTGGATATAGAACCTGAAGTGCTGCAGTTGCTTTGTGTGTCCTGGCACAAGCCACTTAATCTGGGCCTCAGTTTCCCCTTCTGCTCCTGCTTCATGAGGCTGTTGCAAGCACTGATGAGGCATTAAATATAAAGTACATAATGCAGTGCCTTGGGTCTTAGGAATAGTTATCTGCTGCTGCTGGTGGTGATGCTTAGTATCCATGGGCAATAGTTGTTCCAAGTATGAACAGAGTCAGGGAGCCCAGAGACTAGGGTCATATTCACCTGTTGGGCTGTGTTTTTCTTAAGGAGCGTCTCACCTGAGTGAGGCTAGTCTGCAGCCTGAATAGAGGTATTCCAGACTGCTATTCCTGAACAAGGGTTTGAGCTGCAAGGAAGGAGAGGGGAGGTGAGAAACAACAGCTGCGGGAAGCCAGGAAGAGTGGGGCATTGGAGGGGTGGACCAGGGTGAGGTGGGCGTGGCTGAAATCAGTGGGCGGGGCAGGGAAAGGTGGGCGTGGCTGGCATCAGTAGGCTGGGTGGGGTGAGGTGGGCTTGGCTAAAATCAGTGGGTGGGGCAGGGAAAGGTGTCTGGGGTTGGATGAGGTGGGCGTGGCTGGCATCAGTGGGCGAGGCAGTGTGAGGTGGGCTGGTTTGTCTAAGTGGGCGAGGGAGGAGTACGGTGGGCGGGGCTCTCACCAGACCCTGCAGTTCTCTCTCTGTGGCGTTGAACTTCCTGGAACCAGGGTGCCGCATGTCCTCCTCGTACTGCAGGTTGGTGATGGTGAAGTTGAGGGTGAATGGCACCATGAATGGGACTGTGGCTGCTGCAAGGAAGGAGAAAAGAAGGCCACGCCTGAGTCAGATCTGAACTGACTGTAAGTCAATTTCTGAGGACCCAGACGGAGTGCTTGAAGCAAGAGTCTGAAGCAGACAGGTGGGTGCTTTAGTTTGGACGGATAATGGAAAGCCAGGTAAGGAGAAAAGTGGGATGTTCCTAAAATGCATTACCTGGGCCCAGAAGCAGGTTAGGGGACCAGAAGCAGGTTAGGGGACCAGGGTAGGTGTATTGGGTCAGAACGTGTGCCTACTGGAAGCTGAGGTCTCAGACTCTGCCAGGTGCCCATACCCGCCCTAACAAACTCTAGCTGAGAAGTTAAAAGGGAAAAGGACCGGAACAGTCTCATGCTTTGGGGAACAAGAAGGGAAAAAAGAGTCAACTCAATCCCATTGAACACTGAACAACAACAATAAAAATCAAACAGCAGTCCTTAAAGCAGACCTTCTCTCACCTGCTTTACTTGGCTACCCTTCCCCACTCAAGCCCAAAACTCCCAAAACTCCCAGAACTTGCCCTTCCTTTAATAAAGAGGAGACCACATGGTAGAGAGACATAGTTACCATGGTTACGGCCACACTAGTGAGTCAGATTTGGTTTCAAATCTCCTCTCTGCCCCTCACCAGCCAAGTGACCATGGACATGTTACCTGTCCATACCTCAGTTTCTTCCGCTGTAATACAATGGGCAATATGGGTCGGGCGCGGTGGCTCACACCTGTAATCCCAGCACTTTGGGAGGCCAAGGCGGGCAGATCACTTGAGGTCAGGAATTCGAGACCAGCCTGGCCAACACAATGAAACCCCGTCTCGACTAAAAATACAAAAATTAGCCAGGCGTGGTGGCATGCACTTGTAATCCTGGCTACTTGGGAGGCTGAGGCAGGGGAATCCCTTGAACCCGGGAGACGGAGGCTGCAGTGAGCTGAGATTATACCACTGCACTCCAGCCTGGGCAACAGAGCGAGACTCTGTCTCAAAAAAAAAAAAAAAAAAAAAAGGCGGCGAGGGGCATAATGATATTTTGGAGGGAAATTAGGAAGGTTACATGACTGTTAAAAAGAGCACATCTCCAGGGCATTACACTGAGTGGAAAAGAAGCCAATTTCAAAGGTGACATGTTGTACATTTCCATTTATATAACATCTTCAAAAGAAAATTGTAGAGACAGAGATGGAGATGGAGAGTAGAATAGCTATTCTATGCAATAGTGTTGGGCTCAGTGGGCATGATTACGAAGGCTAGCATGAGGGGAATCTTTGGGGGAATGGAACAGTTCTGAATCTTGATGGTGGTGGTGATTATAGGGCTATGCCCATGTGATAAAAATTGCATAGGGCTACCAACACACACGCACACACACATGCATGCACACACGTGCACAGACACACACACATGTGCATACATGCACACAGATGCACGCACGCACGCACGCATGCACACACACATGCACACATGCACACACGCATGCACACATGCACATATGCACACACAGGCGTGCATGCACACACATGCCTGCACACACACGCACATACACAAGCTCACATATGCACACACGCGTGTAAAACCAGTAAAATGGATTTTAACAATGTCAGTTTCCTGCTTTTGATATTGTATTAGAGTTATGTAAGATGTAGCCATTGGGGAGAAACTGGGTGAAGGATACAGGGGAATGCTACACTATTTTCGCAACATCTCCTGAATTTATTTATTATTTATTTCAAAATGAAAAGTTATTTATTATTTATTTATATTATTATTTACTTTATATTTATTATTTATTTCAAAATGAAAAGTTAAAAATAAAAAAAATACATAGCATATGGCATGCCATATAGTAAGTGCTCAATAACTTGGTTGTCTTTTATTGTCAATTGTAATTGCTTGTTCCATTTCAGTCTTGCCCAATACACTGTAAACTTGGTGAGGGGAGGGACTGCATTTGACTTAGTCAACATCTTATCCCCCCTGCCCAGCCCAGAATAGGTGCCTGATAAATATTTGTTAAACCAAATTCCCTGGTAGCCCCTGTGCTAGGTGTTCTTACGTAGAGTTGCATATAACATTTGCAAACAATTTATGAAATATTATTATCCTCAATTGGCAGGTGAGGAAACTGAGGTACTGAGAGGATGAGTAAATTGCTCAAAGTCAACATGGCTGGAGAATGAGGAGGACCCTTCTCCTGCTCTTGAGGAGTTCGGAGCAGAGCGAGGATTACCATGACTGCTCCAGGTTTCCTCACGCCATCCTTTACCAACATCTCCCAGTTATATATATAATGTGTATAACTATATATATAGAAATATATATATTTATATACAGAGAAACATACATATATAACTATATATAGTTACAGATATAGAAACTATATATATAACTATATATAGAGAGACACTATATATATATGTTTTATATATGTGGTTACTATATGGTAACTATATATATGGTTATATATAACTATATATATGGCTATATATAGTTATGGCTATATAAATAACTATATATAACATATATGTTATATGTATAACCATAAATATATTTTTATATAACATATAATATATGATATAACATCTATCTATCTAACCAAGTAGAAACTTTCGAACTGAAACATAAAGTAACTGAGATAAAAAGAATTCAATGGATGGGCAGAATGGAGCTGGTAGAGAAAAGGCTTGGTGATTGTGAAAATATTCTATAAAAATTATTAAACCTGGGCCGGGCGCAGTGGCTCACGCCTGTAATCCCAGCTCTTTAGGAGGCTGAGGCGGGCGGATCACGAGGTCAGGAGATTGAGACCATCCTGGCTAATACGGTGAAACCCCGTCTCTACTAAAAAATACAAAAAATTAGCCGGGCATGGTGGCGGGTGCCTGTAATCCCAGCTACTCCGGAGGCTGAGGCAGGAGAATGGCGTGAACCCAGGGGGCGGAGCTTGCGGTGAGCCGAGATCGCGCCACTGCACTCCAGCCTGGGCGACAGAGCGAGACTCCGTCTCAAAAAAAAAAAAAAAATTATTAAACCTGAAATTCGGAGAGGAAAAAAGATTGATAAATAACAAAATGAACAGAACCTCAGGGTCTCTTCGGGCAACATCATTTCATTGGAGGTCCGAAGGGGAGAAAGAATCAGAGCAGAAAATAAACACTTTGAGACTCAAGAAGCTGAGAACACTTTAAGCAGGATAAACTCAAAGAAAACCATGCCCAGACACATCGTAATCAAACTACTGAAAATCAATGATGAAGAACAAATTTTGAAAGCACCTAGAAAAAGTGACAGCATTGATCATGGAATGACTTGCTTTGTAATACATGTTACATACGTACAAGCCCAGAGGGGTTAGGCATGTCACATAAATGGTTGAATTGATTAGAGCAGAGCAGTGAGGAAGTGGAGAGTGAACATCCTGTCTACAGCATGTAAAAAGTTTGCAGTGTTGTGACTCACAAAACATAAGGCCTGAAGGCGGAATTTTAATTACGGGACACCAGGTTCTATCTCATAACTCCAGAATCACAAGGCAGGGTTAAGGGTTAGGAATGCCCGACCTCCGTCTTTTTTTTTTTTTTTTTGAGATGGAGCCTAGCTCCATTGCCCAGGCTGGAGTGCAGTGGCACAATCTCGACCACTGAGAAAATTTCTGGCTGAGGCAGGAAAATTGCATGAACCCGGGAGGTAGAGGTTGCAATGAGCCGAGATGGTGCCACTGCACTCCAGCCTGGGTGACAGAGCGAGACTCCATTTAAAATAATAATAATAATAATAATAATTTTAAAAAAATTAGAAAGTTGAGAAGATACCAACCATAGCTGGTCCCCAGGAATCGCTAGTGCAAAGCTCTCGAGGTTAGACAGAGGTTAGGGTGCTAGAAGACCACTCAAGGCAGGGTGGTCAAAATTTAGAGAGTGGGCCTGGCGTGGTGGCTCATGCCTATAATCCCAGCACTTTGGGAGGCCAAGGTGGGTAGATCACTTGAGGTCAGGAGTTCAAGACCAGCCTGGCCAACATGGTGAAACCCCGTCTCTACTAAAAATACAAAAAATTAGCCAGGCATGGTGGTGTGCACCTGTAATCCCAGCTACTCCGGAGGCTGAGGCAGGAGAATCACGTGAACCTGGGAGGCGAAGGTTGCAGTGAGCCGAGATCACACCATTCCACTCCAGCCTGGGTGACAGAGCAAGACTCCGTAAAAAAAAAAAAAAAAAAAAAAAAAAAAGAGAGAGAGAGAGAGTGAGAGGGCGAGTGGAACAGGCTGAGTCTGGGTGGTCAGCAGGGAACAGACCATGCAGTGTTAAATTTCATAGATGCCAGAGAGGAGCTTCCTACCTGTGGAGCTGGGGATGGAGGATGTGGAAATCCCTGGGGAGAATGTAGAAGTCACTGGAGCTGAGAAAAAAAGAACATGGAGAAATGATTGGGTGTCTTCCTAAAGGAATATGGGACAGGAACTGCTCATTGGAATTTGGACTTCTATCTTGACTCACACCAAGACCTTGACGGGTTAGGGGCTGCTCTGAGGCTGTGGCTGGGCACGTAGGGAGGGAGAATGATCAGTTTCTCTTCTGAGGAATGCACCTTGGGGAGGAAGGGTCCCAAGGGCATTGGAATATCACAGGTTTGAATACTCACTGCTGGTGGCAGGGGTCCAGTACCGACGGTTATAACCTGCAGATAGGGAGGAAAGAGTAAAGAAGGACAATTATGATGGGTGAGAGGTAGGGGAGGGGAAGATGGTAGATCCAGAAATGGAAATAATGGGAAACTTTCATGATGAGCCCATCTGGGCTATCCCTCAGCCAGCCAGAGGGAGGGGAGGGGCTTCCACCTTCGATGTGTGACTTCAGCTCGCAAGGGAACCTCCATCTCTCAGCCCAGAGTGGCCAAAGTTGAACAAGTCATGGACATTTCATTGAGAAGAGGTGGGGCCAAGATCTTTTGTGAATAAAGGATAATGGCTATATTTTATTTGGTACATATTTTGTGCTTTGTCCTTTGACAATAATGGTGGAAATCATCACTATTATTATTCCTGAAATAAAAATACCATAATAGCTGTCCCTATTTATTGGGAATCTAGTATATACAAACAATAATAATAAATACATTACAAGGGTGGAAAGACACATGTATGGATGAGTGTGCTTTCTACCCATAAAGATAATTTAGTTTGATTCTTACTCTCTCAGCTTACCTCCTTTCACAAAATTTCATGATAGTATAATTTTTTTCCAACTTACTTTCTCTGTGTGTGTGTGTGTGTGTGTGTGTGTGTGTGTGATGTAGAATTGACAAAAATGTGATGGGTGAAGGGAGTGGTGTTTTTAGGTAAAAGTACAGAGAAATGAGGGATAGAAACGGTTCATATGGGGCCGGGCTTGGTGGCTCACGCCTGTAATCCTAGCACTTTGGGAGACCGAGATGGGCAAATCACTTGAGGTCAGGAGTTCAAGACCAGCCTGGCCAACATGGCGAAACCCCGTCTCCACTAAGAACACAAAAATTAGCGTGGCGTGGCGGTGGGCGCCTGTAATCCCAGCTACTCAGGAGGCTGAGGCAAGAGAATCTCTTGAACCTGGGAGGCGGAGGTTGCAGTGAGCAAAGATCGTGCCATTGCACTCCAGCCTGTGCAACAGAGTGAGACCATGTCTCAAAAAGAAAAGAAAAGAAGAGAAAAAAGAAAGAAAGAAGGAAAGGAAGGAAAGAAAAGAAAGAAAGAAAGGTTTCATATGGTTTGGAATATTGGAGAAAATTTGGCAAAATAGGTGTGGTGGTAAAAACAAGAGACTTCAGGATGAGAGGGGTGGTGTTGCCATTGGAGCAAGAAAGGAACTGGGGAAAAGAGAATTTGTCCTGAGTGTTTCTCTAGGTCATGGATTGCATCTCCTTTGAGGCTCTGTGAGAGATACAAGGAAAGACAGAACCCAGGGCAGCCCTGTTATTTATCTGGGTTGTTCCTGAATTATCTCATTTGATTATCAGAACAATCCCACGTAGTATTTTTATTCCATTCCACAGAGGGGACACTAAAGTCTGGGGAGGTTACATGGCTTGTCCTGCATCCAACAAAACAGACATCTGTCTGTCATTCAATAGTACCACACTGTTAAGCCATGCCCTAAATTAGTCATAATCCTATGGACACAGAACAGGATGTGTACTTGATACTACAATGAAATACTTTCTGTGTATTATCTCCTATGTCAAGGATAGAGGAGTATATATCCTCTATTTCAAGTCAGATATAAAGGAAATCTCCAAGTGGATTCAGAAGGGAAGTAACAAATTCAGCATTAGGTTAGATCATTAGCATAGAGGCCATTCATGCCTCATTCCTGTCCTGAGATTGGGGCTTGCTCTATTTGGACGATCCACAGTGATGTCTTGTAGTTAGGAGCCTGGAGTTTTCATGAGTCTCCAATCTTCGGTTGGAGTTTTCATACTGTCCTGTGTCATAACTGAGTAATTCTGGGCTAATTACTTCCTCCCTGGATGCATAAATGCTCTCTGTAGAAATGAGTATAGTAACTCACGGAGGTTTGGGTAATATTAATAGGAGATAATGCATATAAAGTTCTCATCACAATTCCTGGCACAATTCCTTTTTTTTTTTTTTTCAGACGGAGTCTTGCTCTGTCGCCCAGGCTGGAGTGCAGTGGCACAATCTCAGCTCACTGCAACCTCTGCCTCCCAGGTTCAAGCAATTCTCCTGCCTCAGCCTCCCGAGTAGCTAGGATTACAGGCACATGCCACCAAGCCTGGCTAGTTTTTGTATTTTTAGTAGAGATGGGGTTTCACCATGTTGGCTGGGCTGGTCTTGAACTCCTGACCTCAGGTGATCTGCCTGCCTCAGCCTCCCAAAATGCTGGGAATATAGGTGTGAGCCACTGTGCCTGGCCCTACAGTTTCCTTTTGATGAAAATGAGCTGCTGTTATGGTTGCTATTCTGGTGGTGGCATTGCTGCTTGGGTCATTGTTGCCACTGATGTTGTGTAAACAGTTATTATTTGAGGGGTATTTGCTCAGGGTGGGGTTATTTCATGAAGTCAGTGGATTCCACTGGCCCATGGAAACTGAGAATTTGCCTTGAGTTGTCATGATGGAGAAAATGAAGGGGAGGAGGGTGAACTGGGCACCCAGGGCCCACTGCGGAGACTCAACCATAGGACCCTCCCTCACCCATTTCTTTCCCCGTCGTCTGCAAACTCCAGCTGGGCTCTTACAGGATCAAGGTGGAGGAGGAAACATTTCATACCAGGAGGTGAAAGGGAAGAGGAAATTGGCCTCCTTTGATGTGCTAGGCATTGAAAGATGAGCCCTCAGAGAACTACGAGATTTGTACCAGAACTTGGAATCTGTGTACAGCAGATGCTCAACCTCAGCCCTATTGACATTTTGGTCTGGATAATGTGTTTTGATAGGAGGCTGCTTTGTGCATTGTTGGATGTTTTGCAACATCTCTGGCCTCTACTTACTAGATGCCATTAGCAAATGGCCGGGCATCATGGCTCATGCCTGTAATCCCAGCACTTTGGGAGGCCAAGGCAGGCGGATCACCTGAAGTCAGGAGTTCAAGAGCAGCCTGGCGAACATGGAGAAACCTCATCTCTACTAAAAATACAAAATTAGCTGGGCATGGTGGCACATGCCTGTAATCCCAGCTACTCAGGAGGCTGAGGCAGGAGAATCACTTGAACCCAGGAGGCAGAGTTTGCAGTGAGCCAAGATGGCGCCACTGCACTCCAGCCTGGGCAACAAGTGTGAAACTCCATCTCAAAAAAAAAAAAGTTATATGTGGATTTTTGAATGCATAGGGGTCAGCACCCTGAACCCTCATGCTGTTCAAGGGCCCAGCTGTAGTAATAATTGCCAGGAAGGAAGTGAGCATAGAGGTAGAATAGAGATTGGCTGTGTGCAAGATGCGTATACGGGGGAAATGCTACTTTATAAAGGGTGATCCAAGCTGAGATTTGAAGGACAAGAACACCAGGTGCAAAGACTCTGAGGGTGGAGGGATGTTTGGACCCTGGAGGAAAAAAAAAATGAAGCTGATATGGCCAGAGATGATTGGACACAGCTTATTCACTTACTCCGTTCTAAAAATGGACACTGAAGCCTGGAGAGGTTACATGGCTCTTCCGGGGCCACACAGTGAGCAAAAGAGAGGACCAGGACTTAAAGCAAGACCTGTAATTTACCAAAACCTACACCATTCATTACTGCTTTTAAGTCAGAGTCGGTCTCAATGAATATATATATATATATATATATATTTTTTTTTTTGAGACAGAGTCGCTCTCTGTTGCCCAGGCTGGAGTGCAGCGGTGCGATCTCCGCTCACTGCAAGCTCTGCCTCCCAGGTTCACGCCATTCTCCTGCCTCAGCCTCCTGAGTAGCTGGGACTACAGGCATCTGCCACCATGCCCGGCTAATTTTTTTGTGTATTTTTAGTAGAGATGGGGTTTCACTGTGTTAGCCAGGGTGGTCTTGATCTCCTGACCTCATGATCCACTGGCCTCAGCCTCCCAAAGTGCTGGGATTACAGGCGTGAGCCACTGCACCCAGCCTCAATGACTATTGAAATACAAGTTTTTGGCCTGGTGCAGTGGCTCACACTTGTAATCCCAGCACTTTGAGAGGCCGAGGCTGGAGGATCACTTGAGGTCAGGAGTTCGAGACAAGCCTGGCCCACATTGCAAAACCGTCGTCTCTACTAAAAACACAAAAAATTAGCCGGTGTGATGGTGCGTGCCTGTAGTTCCAGCTACTCAGGAGGCTGAGGCAGGAAAATCGCTTGAACCTGGGAGAAGGAGGTTGCAGTGACCCGAGATCATGCCACTGCACTCCAGCTTGGGCAACAGACTGAGACTCTGTCTCAAAAAACCCCCCAAAAAACAAAAAAACAAAAATTAGCCAGGCATAGTGGCATGTGGCATGAGAATCGCTTGAACCTGGGAGGCAGAGGTTGCAGTGAACCGAGATTGCACCATTGCACTCCAGCCTGGGCGACAGAGTGAGACTCTGCCAAAAGAAGGAAAGAAAGAAAAAGACAGGAAGAAAGGAAGAAAGGAAGGAAGGAAGGAGGAAGGAAGGAAGGAAGGAAGGAAGGAAGGAAGGAAGGAAGGAAGGAAGGAAGGAAGGAAGAAAAGAAGGAAGGAAGGAAAGAAATGGAAGCTTTAAATCCAGGCAAAAAGAAAGTGTCCAAGGTGGTATAGTGAGGACATCATTAAACAAGCATTAGCTTAAATTGTTGGATGAGATTGGACAGAGGGGAACACGCTGAGACTTGGTGGGCATCAGGACTCAGACCACACAGCAATTAATCAGCCACTGAATGGCAGCCGACGTTTCATGGGAGCTGGAAGCCAGATTCCTACCTGTAGCGCTGGGGGTGGGGCTCACAGATACGAGAGGCCTTGGAGAGAACATGGAGGTCATCGGAGCTGAAAGAAAACGCAGCGTGAATCGGGTTTGTTGGGTCCTATCATTTAGCGAGGGGAGAATAGGACTCTTGGTGAGCACTGGCATCTGTGCCTTGGCTCAGCCTGAGACTTTTGCTATTCTGGAGTTTCTGTGGGGATGAGAACCTAGGGAATGGGGGATACTTTCCTCCTGGAAGGCAGGCTTAGGGAGGAAGAATTCCCAGGGCATAGGGACTTCAGGGCCATGTTTACTCACTGCTGGTGGTGGAGATCCAGGACCGATGGTTATAACCTGCAGAGAGAGAGGGAGAGGAAGGAAGAACGAATCAGAGTGAGAAGACAGGAGGAAGTTAAGAGAGGAAGGAGGGGTAGAACTCAAAACACAGGTGCACCAACCCTCCTGTGTGCTTTCTCTGAGGTTCATTCATGAATAACAACAGCTGGGGAGGCTGAGGCGGGAGAATCACATGAACCTGGGAGGCAGAGGTTGCAGTGAGCCAAGATTGTGCCGCTGCACTCCAGCCTGGGTGACAGAGCGAGACTCCGTCTCTAAATAAATAAATAAATAAATGAATAACAGCTAGTCTTTTTTTGTTTGGTTTAGTTTTTGTTTGTTTGTTTTGTTTTTTGAGACAAGAGTCTCTCTCTGTTGCCCGGGCTGGAGTGCAGTGGTTCAAGCTCATCTCACTGCAGCCTCCGCCTCCCAGGTTCAAGTGATTCTCCTGCCTCAGCCTCCCAAGTAGTTGTCATTACAGGCACACGCCACCACACCTGACTAATTTTTGTATTTTTGGTAGAGACCAGGTTTCACCATGTTGGCCAGGCTAGTCTTGAACTCCTGACCTCAAGTGATCCACCCACTTTGGCCTCCCAAAGTGCTGGGACTGCAGGTGTGAACCAGCACGCCCAGCCAACAGCTTGGTCTTATTAGTTAACTGCCTCCTACACTGATGCTCATGATATCCTCACCCTCATTATCATTAACAACAATGACAATAATCAATCGCCAGAGGCCCCTTCTTATTGTGGGGGTTCACTATGTGGCTGGAATACTGCCACCTTCATTAAATAAATGATGGGGACAAAATTTTCTGTTTCCAGCCTTATTTGTGTTTCCTTCATCCATTACGTATAATTTTGTCATTGCTGTCTGAGTTTCTCCTCTTTCCCAACTTTTCAAAGACAGGAAAGACTTTTGGCAGTATAGTTTCTGGAATTCTTTCGTGTGAAATTGAGATAATAAGAGGGGAGGGAAAGAGAGAGAGAGAGACTGACTATGGGGAGGGGAGAGGCTAGGGGGTCCGCAGGAGATGATAAAGTTGCAGAATGAGAAGAAATGAGGAAAAGGGGATTTTAGTAAGTAGGGTATGTTCTGAAACATGAATTAGATCCTCTTTGGCACTCTGTGAATAGTGCAAAGAAAATTTAGACTTATTTTACATTTGATGGTCTGACTGATTTTCTTGAAACTTCTGAGACTGGTCCAAGTGGAGCCCTGTGGTTTACTTGGGTTATTAGGATTTTATCTTATTTGATCTTCACAATAATCTTAGGTGACATTTTAAACATTAAAAAAAAATCCATTCCGAAAATAGGGCCAGGTGAGGTGGCTCCTACCTGTAATCCCAGTACTTTGGGAGGCCCTTGGGCGGATCACTTGAGATCAGGAGTTTGAGACCAGCCTGGCCAACATAGTGAAATCCCATCTCTACTAAAAATGCAAAAATTAGCTGGGCGTGGTGGCACGCGCCTGTAGTCCCAGCTATTCGGGAGGCTGAGGCAGGAGAATCGCTTCAGTCTGGGAGGTGGAGGCTGCAGTGAGCCAAGACCGTACCACTGCACTCCAGCCTGGGTGCCAGAGGGAGACTCTATCAAAAAAAAGAAAGAAAAAAAAAAAAGGACACTGAATCCTCTTGACAGGATTAGTAAGATCTAACAGATATGGCCGGGCACAGTGTCTCACACTTGTAATCCCAGCACTTTGGGAGGCCAAGGCGTGTGGACCACCTGAGGTCAGGAGTTTGAGACCAGCCTGACCAACATGGTAAAACCCTGTCTGTACTAAAAATACAAAAATTAGCCAGGCACGGTGGCGTGCACCTGTAGTCCCAACTACTCAGGAGGCTGATGCAGGAGAATTGCTTGAACCCAGGAGACAGAGGTTCAGAGGTTGTGGTGAGCCGAGATTGCACCACTGCACTAGGGAGAATGGGGAATGGGAAATTATTCCTTCAGTCCTGTTTGGGGTGATAAAAAAAGTTTTGAAAACAGATAGTGGTGAGGGTTGCACAACAATGTGAATGTATTAGTACTGCTGAGTTGTACAATTAAAATGTTTAGAATGGCAATTTTTATAGTATTTATATTTTACCACAATAAAAAAGTTATTCTTACTTGTTCTTGAGGTCACACTCTCAGAGGCCAAGGTGGACATCCCAGGTGTGGTCAGAGGAGTAAAGAGGCTTCCAGCCAGTGTATTGAAGGTGGTTGTTGTCTTGGCCACAGTGGGACTGGAACCTGTGGTAGCTAAATTAGTGGCTTCAACCATTGTAGTTCTCAAGATAGTGGTTGGACTCACTCCTTCTCCATGACTGGTTTTAGGTGGTGTTGGCATCTCTGATGGTATCAAGGTCATAGTGGTGCCTGTGACAGTCCTGGAAAATTCTGGGGGTCCAACTGAAGTTACAGATGGTGAGGTTTCTGTGTTCCAGGAGGTCACAGTTTGGGGCTTATCAGTTGTTATAGAGGCACTGGAAAGCCCAGAGACAGCAGGGGAAACAGTCAGAGTTAGAGTACTCGTGCTGGTCTCTGCTGAAGAGCTGGTGGCCAGTAAGCCTGTAGTCTCTAGTAAACCAAGGGAAAGAGTTGAAGTTGGAATCATTGTGCTGGTTTCTGTCCCTGGATGGGTGGAAAGTGGGGCTGTTTTTGCAGAAACACCAGGTGAAGCAGTTGGACTTAGATCAACTCTGCTGGTTCCAGTTACAAGTAGGGTGAAGAGAGAGGATGTTGTCTGAGTTGGGAGAGCTGTGCTAGTCTCTGCACCAGGTCTAATGGTGAGTGAGGCTGTGGTCTCTGATACTTGAGGAAACACAGTTGAAGCAGGAAATGTTTTACTTGTCTCTGTTCTGGGATGGGTGCTCAATAAGGCTGTGGTCTCTGGCATACCAGGAGAATGAGTCAAAGTTGGAACAGTTGTACTGGTTGCTGCCCCAGAACTAGTGATCTGTGAAGTCACCATCTCTGGTGCACCAGGTGAGATTGTTGTCAGTACAGCTGAACTGGCTTCTGTCCTAGGACTGGTGGCCATTACAGGTGTGGCATCTGGACTACTATGGGAAAAACTGGAGGTTGTTCTGGAAACAGGTGTGCTGGTCTGTGGAGGATGAGTGACCCAGGAAGCCATTGTATCTGGCTCACTAGAGGGAACAGTCCGAATTGGAACAGTGAAGCCAGTCTGTGTCCCAGGATGGGTAGCTGATGAGGCTGTGGTCTCTGGTTCACCAGGAGAAGGAGTCAAAGTTGGAATAGCTGTACTAGTGTCTGTTGCAGAACTAGTGACCTGTGAGGTCACTACCCCTGGTATACTGGGTGGGATGGTTGTAGTTGGAACACCTGACCTCGTGTCTACTCCAGGACTGGTGACCATTGAGGGTGCAGTGTCTGATCCCCTATGGGAAAAGTTGGGAATTGTCCCAGAAACCGTTGTGCTGGTTTCTGCAGGATGAGTGAGCCACGTGGCTGTAGTCTCTGGTTCATATGGGGTCTCACTCAATGTTGGGAAGGTTGTACTGGTGTCTGTCCCAGAACTAGGGACCAGTGAGGTCACCAGATCTGACATATCAGGTGAGATAGTTGTCGTTGAAACAGCTGAACTGGCTTCTGGCCCAGGACTGGTGATGGCTACTGGGAGTGTGGTGTCTGACTTACTATGGGAAAACTTGGGAGTTGTCCTGGGAACCATTGTGTTGGTCTCTGCAGGATGAATGAGCTGTATGGCTGTTGTCTCTGGTTCATATGGGGTCTCCGTCAGTGTTGGGAAAGTTGTAGTGCTGTCTGTCCCAGAACTGATGACCAGTGAGGTCAGCATCTTTGATGCACCAGGGGAGACAGGGAGAGTTGGAATGGCTGAACTTGTGTGTGTCTCAGAATAGGTGATAAATGAGGTTGTGGTCTCTGGCTCACCAGAAGAAAGAGTCAGAGTTGGAATAGTTATACTGGTGTCTGTCCCAGAACTAGTGACCTGTGAGGTTACCATATCTGGTACATCAGGTGAGACAGTTATTGTTGGAAAATCTGAAGTGGCTTCTGCCCCAGGACTGGTGGCTATTGATGGTGTGGTGTCTGGTTCACTATGAGAATAATTAGGGGTTGTCCTGGGAACTGTTGTGCTGGTGACTGCAGGATGAGTAACCCATGAGGCTGTTGCCTCTGATTCATGTGGGGACTCAGGCACTGTTGGAAAAGTTGCACTGATGTCTCTCCCAGAGCTAGTGACCAGTGATGTCAGCACACCTGGTATACCAGGTGAAATAGTTGTTGAAATGGCTGAGCTGGATTCTGCCTCAGGACTGGTGACTGTAGAAGGCATAGTGTCTAATTCACTGTGGGAAAACCTTGAGGTTGTCCTGGGAAGAGTTGAGCTACTCTCTGCAGGATGGGTGACCAATGAGATATTTGTAAACGGCTCACCAGTGGAGACAGTCAAAGTTGGAACAACAGAACTTGCTTCTGTCCCAGGATGAGCGACCCATGAGTCTATGGTCTCTGGTTGACTTGAGGCAACAGTTAGATTTGAAAACGCACTGGTCTCTGACCCAGAACTAGTGACCAGTGAAGTCACCAGCCCTTGTACAGTAGGGGAGACAGCTAAAGTTGGAATGGCTGAAATCATCTTTGCCTCAGAATGGGTGACCAATGAAGTTGTGGTCTCTGGTTCATCAGAAGAAATAGTCAGAGTTGGAATAGTTGTACTGGTTACTGCTCTAGAACTAGTGACCAGAGAGGTCACCATTCCTGGTACCTCAGGTGAAACAGTTAGAACAGCTGAGCTGGCTTCTACCCCATGACTGGTGGCCATTGAAGGTGTGGTCTCTGGCTCACTAGAAGAAAGAGTTAGAATTGGAATAGTTGTACTGGTCACTGCCCTGGAACTAGTGACCAGAGGGGTCACCACTCCTGATACCCCAGGTGAAACAGTTGGAGTTGGAACAGCTGAGCTGGCTTCTGCCCCATGACTGGTGGCCATTGAAGGTGTGGTTTCTAGTTCACCAGGAGAAAGAATCAGAGTTGGAATACTTGTACTGTTTACTCCACTAGAACTAGTGACCAGAGAGGTCACCACTCCTGGTACCTCAGGTGAAACAGTTGGAACAGTTGAGCTGGCTTCTGCCCCATGACTGGTGGCCATTGAAGGTGTGGTCTCTGGTTCACCAGGAGAAAGAGTCAGAGTTGGAAGAGTTGTACTGGTTACTGCCCTAGAACTAGCAACCAGAGAGGTCACCATTCCTGGTACCTCAGGTAAAACAGTTGGAACAGCTGAGCCAGCTTCTGTCCCATGACTGGTGGCCATTGAAGGTGTGGTCTCTGGTTCACCAAGAGAAAAAGTCAGAATTGGAATAGTTGTACTAGTCACTGCCCTAGAACTAGTGACCAGAGAGGTCACCACTCCTGGTACCCCAGGTGAAACAGTTGGAGTTGGAATAGCAGAACTGGCTTCTTCCCCATGACTGGTGGCCATTGAAGGTGTGGTCTCTGGTTCACCAGGAGAAAGAGTCAGAATTGGAATAGTTGTACTGATCACTGCCCTAGAACTGGTGACCAAAGGGGTCACTACTCCTGGTACCTCAGTTGAAACAGTTGGAGTTGGAACAGCTGAACTGGATTCTGCCCCATGACTGGTGGTCATTGAAGGTGTGGTGTCTGATTTACTATGGAAAAAAATGGAAGTTGTCCAGGGAACTGTTGGGCTGGTCTGTGCAGGATGCGTGACCAATGAAACTGTTGTAGCTGGTTCACCAGGGGAGTTTGTCAGAGCTCGATTAGTTGTACTTGTCTTTGCCGCCAAACTGGTGACCATTGAGGTCACCAACCGTGATACAGCAGGCGAGATAGTTGAAGTTGGAATGGCCGAACTTGTCTGTGCTTCAGGATGGGTGACTAATGAGGCTATCGTCTTTGGTTCACCAGGAGAAAGAGTCAAAGTTGGAATAGTCATATTTCTGTCTGTCCCAGAACTAGTGACCTGTGAGGTCACCAGATCTTCTGCACCAGGTGAGACAGTCATAATTGGAATAGCTGAACTGGTTTCTGCCCCAGGACTGGTGGCTATTGAAGGTGTGGCATCTGATTCATGATGAGAAAAATTGGGGATTGTTCTGGGAATAGTTGAGCTGGTCTCTGCAGGATGAGTGAGCCATGTGGTTCTTGTCTCTGTTTCATGTGGGGACTTAGTCAGTGTTGGGAATGTTGTACTAGTATCTGTCCCCGAAATAGTGACCAGTGGGGTCAGTGCATCTAGTTCACTAGGTGAGATATTTGTTGGAATGGCTGAGCTGACGTCTGCCCCATGACTGGTGGCTGTGGAAGATACAGTGTCTAATTCACTGTGGAAAAAATTGGGGGTTGTCTTGGAAACAGTTGGGATGGTCTCTGCAGGATGGATAACCCATGAAGCTGTTGTATCTGGCTCACTAGAAGAAACATCTAGAGTTTGAATAACCGGACTTCTCTCTGCCCCAGAACGAGAGACCAGTGAGGCTGTGGTCTCTGATTCTCTATTGAAAACAGATGGGGTTGTCCTGGGAAGAGCTGTGCTGGTTTCTGCTCCCAGGCTGGTAGCCAATGAGGATGTCGTTTCTGGAACATCAGGGAAAACATATGGGGTTGTGATCATCATTTCTGTGGGGATTGTGCTGGCCATTTGCATTGATGCATTGAGGGGAGTCAGTGTTCCCAAAGTGGGAGTATAGACACTGGTGGTCAAGGTGGCTCTGGAAGTGGTCTTCAGAGCTGTGGTGGTGGTCTTCAGAGCTGTGGTGGTGGTCTCCATTCTTTTTGTCCCTCCTGTGTGTAGTCCTGTAAATTGGGGAATGGGCACACAATTTGAACAAAATGATTACACTTACTGGACTTGCAATAGCTTATTTATTCTCCACAGGAGGAAAGGGAGAGAAATGTCTCTCGGTTACTAGGATGTGTCTGGGATGCTTCTGGAATGGGAAAAGAGATTGTGATTGGTATTCCCCTATCTTACCTTGGTCTGTAACTTGGTTGCATCTTCACCTATAACTCCTCTGTGAATTCTTGACCGCTACTCTATTCCCTCTTCCCATGTGTTTCCTGCACTGTCAGCCTCTGAGCCTTGTTCAAGCTCTTCTCTCTGCCTGAAGTGCCCACTTCTCATCAGATTCCTTAAGTTCTGCCATTATTGAAATCCAAGCCCACATCCACCTTTACAAATTCACTCCAGAACTCATCTTTGCTTCTCAATATTTCCTTATCACACTGTCTGAATCTGCGTTGTACCATCCTTCACAGTCTCATTTGTAACAGCTATTCACGTTTGACTGTTTGGCATACGGTAAGTGCTCAACTAATATTTGTTGAATGATTGAATGAATGAATATGTGGATGGATGTATACTTAAGTGGATCTCCTCTGACTTGAGAGAGATTAAGTATTGTGTATCATGTGTTTGAGAGCTTGGGCTCTGGAATAAGATAGCCCTGCCTGGGATTCTGGCTCTTTCTCTAAAGAGATGGGTGGCTCTTTAAGTTAAAAAATATTGCTGGACCTCCATTTTCCCGTCTATAAAGTGGGGATAAGTACAATGGCCATCTCAAAGTGTTGGTAAAAAGGCGCCAAGCACAGTGCCTCCTGGGTCACGATAAGACATTACTACTATTACCACGACTATGACCTGCTATTGCTACTGTTATTACTATCACTTCTCCACCTACCATTACTGCTGTTATTGCTACTGTTACTACTACCTATTGCAATGGTTATTACTATGATTACTACTACTAGTACTGCTACTACTGTTACTACCACTATTACTATTGCTACTGTTACTGCTACCACTGCTACTACTACTGTTACTACTACCACCACTCTACCTACCATTACTGCAGTTATTACTACTGTTACCACAACTATTACTACCTATCACTATGGTTATTACTATGGTTACTGCTACTTACTATTACTACTGCTGTTGCTATTACTATTATTACTATCACTACCACTTAATATTACTACTCTACCTACAGTAGAGTAACAGCAGTAATGGTAGTGCTCTGTCATTACTGCTGTTATTACTACTGTTACTACTAATATTACTGCCTATTGCTATGGTTATTACTATGTTATTACTATGGTTACTACTATTAATACTATTGTTGCTAGCACTATTACTTATGATTTCTACTGTCACTACTACCACTGCTACTACCTACTGCTACTACTGTTACTACCAACACAACTCTACATACCATTACTGCCATTATCACTACTATTACTACTAGTATTACTGCTTATTGCTATGGTTATTGCTACAGTTACTACTACTTACTAGTGCTATTGCTGCTATTGTTACTACCACTACTACTTACCATTACTACTGTCACTACTAATAATTCTACTACAAAATAAACATTTGCTAAATAGAATTCTCCACCAACCACACTAGACACTACCAGAGCTGACCAAGGTGACTGGAATACCTTTGAACAAGATTCCAGTAGCATTGATGAGACAGCAGCTGCTGACCAGGCTTTAGAAAATGGTTCCTAGGGAAGAGGAAGAACTAACTGGAGGCTTCTCTATAAAGCCCACAAAGCCTACTGGAGCTTGGTAGAGAAAGGGGGTAAAATGAAAGGGATTTTGACTCTGATTATGGAGCAGTGTCCCTGTGTTGCTGGATATCCTCTAAAAACAATATGTCTGAGAATGCACTCTCAAGTGCTTCATGTGTATCTAACAATAATGGTGACCATGATGGTGATTATGTTGATGGGAAGGAGGAGGAGGAGCAATTGCAAAGCACTTGACATGCACTGTCTTTTTAAACCTCACAAGAACATTAAATGGCACATTCTGGCCAGGCGCGGTGGCTCATGCCTGTAATCCCAGCATTTTGGGAGGACGAGGTGGGCGGATCACCTGAGGTCAGGAGTTCTAGACCAGCCTGGTCAACATGGTCAAACCCCATCTCTACTAAAAATACAAAAATTAGCCAGGCTTAGTGGCGTGCATCTGTAATCCCAGCTACTCGGGAGGCTGAGGCAGGAGAATGACTCAAACTCAGGGGATGGAGGTTGCAGGGAGCCGAGATTGCACCTCTGCACTCCAGCTTGGGTGACAGAGCAAGACTCCACCTCAAATAAATAAATAAATAAAGTGAGATAAAATAAAATAAAATGCACATTGTATAATTCTTGTCATTTTACAGGAGAGAAAGAGAAATCCAGAGACCACAATTTACCAAGGTCACACACAGCTATTGACAGGGCAAAAACTTGAACATCATCGTATCTAAATCCTAAACCCATATTATTAACCATTGCATTATATTAATTCACTAAAGGAACTTCTGGATCTTGTGGGGACCAGAATGGAAAGAGAATGAAGTGAGGTGAAAACGCCCATCTAGTAAGATGGATCTTAGGATGCATTCTCCAGTTCAGTGGTTCTCAACCAGGGGCAGTTTTGCTTCCAGGGGACACTTAACAATGTCTGGAGATATTTTTGGTTGTCACAACTGTGTGTGGGCAGAAGGTATGGCATCTAGAACAGAGGCCAGAGAGGCTGGTAAACATCCTACAACGCACAGCACAGCCCCCATCGCAGAGAAGTATCTGCCCCAAATGACAATAGTGTCAAAGTTGAGAAACCCAGATTTTTATTTATTTATGTATTTCATATTACTGCCTTTTAAAGTGAAAATTTTGTTTCAGACTTTATTCAAAACAGAAGGAGGAATTACTAAATATTGTGACAAAGAAAACATATAACAGTGATGTCATAAACCATCTTACATTTATATCGTGTTTTTATTCCCCCCATTGTACTTACATATTGTGATTTAGCTCTCCAGTGATGACAAACAAAAATAACCCAGGAGCTCACCCATCTTCTTTATTTAAGTGACAGTTAAAAAAAATGTACAGTTCCAAATTTTTCATCATGGGAGATATAATCCTAGATATTTTTGTGAAGTTTCTCTTACAAGAGAGTTATGTCTGTTTTTCAACCAGGGCATACATAAAGGCTGTTAATTTATACTTCCTTTTCCTACATTTGCTAGAACTATTGGGATGCATTTTCAGACATACTCTGTCTCTCTCTCTCTCTCTCTCTCTCTCTCTCTCTATATATATATATATATATATATATATATATATACATACATATATATATATACATACATATATATATACATATATATATAGTATATTTTATTTAAATAAAATATATATATATATATATAATTTATTTATTTATTTTTGAGCTGGAGTCTTGCTCTGCCACCCAGGCTGGAGTGCATTGGCACAATCTCAGCTCACTGCAGCCTCTACCTCCTGGGTTCAAGTGACTCTCTTGCCTCAGCCTCCTGAGTAGCTGTGATTACAGGTGTGTGCCACCATGCCCGGCTAATTTTTATATTTTCAGTAGAGATGGAGTTTCACCATTTTGGTCAGACTGGTCTCGAATTTTTGACCTCAGGTGATCCACCCACCTCAGCCTCCCAAAGTATTGGGATTACAGGCATGAGCCACTGCGCCCAGCTCATAGTAAGTTTTTAATGAGCATTTTTAAAATTTGGTTAATATGGACAAATTTGTGAATATTTGATGTTGGACAAAACTCACTCAGCATGCCATGAGGAGAAAGAGAAGTGGTAACATCTGCCTGGTAACCATTAGATAAAGACTCAGTTCAGACAGGGAAACCTATGACAACCACACACAATTCTCTCTCTAAAGAATACAAACATTTTGTCTCTCTGGAGGAGGAAATATGGTCACGAGTGGCATTACTGGGAGGTAAGCAAAGTTAAACCTACCTTTAGGACTGGCAGGCGAAGTGGATGTCTGAGGGCCTTTGACTGGTCTTATGGTACCTCTGTGTGCTGCTTCATTGGGTATTTTTGTGATGTGTTCCATAATGCCATCAGTTCCTGAAGATGAAGGTGGGGAGAAAAACTGGGGTAACTCATCTCATTCAGAAGAAGAGCACTGTCTAAATGGATCCACTTCATTGGCCACAAACACTCCTCAAGTCCATCAGTATGAACTGGAGCTGGGACTATGTGCCATAAGTGGCCACACCTGTCCATAGATCCATCCACCTACCTATAGATTTGTCCATCCTTCCTTTCATTCATCCCTAGATCTGATCATCTATTCTTCCATTTTTTCTTCCTTTTATTCTTTCCTTCTATCACCCATTCTTCCTTTTGTCTTTCCTCCCTTCTTTCCTTTCTCTTGCTTTTTAAAATTTTAATTTAAAAGTTTGTATTTCAATAGCTTTGAGGGTACAAGTGGTTTTTTCTTATATGGATGAATCATATGTGGTGAAGTGTGAGATTTTTTGTGCACCCTCCTTTCTTCTTTCCATCCATCTTTTCTTCAATCTTTACTTCATTTCATCCTTCTACCTTTCTTTCCTTCAATCTATATCCCCTTCAATCCTGTCTTCCATCATCTTTCTTTCTTTTCATCCTTCCTTCTGTGCATCTATCCTTCCTCCGCTTCATCTTTGCTTCCTTCCATTCACTCTTCTCTCCATTCTTCCTTTTATCCATCCAACTACACTTCTCCCTTCTCGCCATGCCATTCATCACTTGCTTACTGAACACCCGTGACTCAACTACTGAGTCACATAGTAACATATGGGTCAATAGCCACCAATGTGTCTAAATTTAGTGTGAATTACAAAATAATGTGAAGAAGGAGAGGGAGCAAATCATTCTCCTGGAGATATTGTCCAGTGAGGCAGAAACTCGAGTCGTTGGAGGGCCTCTTTGGATTTGTGTCCAGAACAAAAGTTGGTGCCAAGCTCAACCCTTTCAGAGGAATGGAATCCCCAAGAAGTTCCTTCCTTTATCTACTGACCTCTTGGAAGTAGTGTTTCCTCCTTCTAGGCTCTGGGTGTCTTCTACCTTCTTAGGTACTTTGTTCCCTCTATTTTCATTAATTCACTTTTTCCTTTCACTTATCCCTTTTGTCTCTTGCTCAACTCAAAGGGAGAAACCCTCCCTTACGTCTACGTAGTATTTTAGCTGTTCTTCTAATGCCCTATACCTCACTGATGCTCCCTTCATTAGAATCCCTGAGAACCCCCATGTTGCCAAAGCACTTCTCACCTCATTTCAACTTGGCAATTCTGTGGTATTTAACAGAACTTACCATTTCTCCTTCCTAAAACCCTCCCCTCCTGTGGCTTCTGTGATGCCAGAACTTCTTGCCTTTTCTGTTACCTCTCTGACCACTCCTGTTTAGCCCAGCAGTTAGGAGCATGAGTTCCTAGTGACACACAATTTGAGTTCTTATCCTAGTTCTATTGCTTTCTAGCTATATGGACTTAAGAAAGTTACTTAATCTCCCTGTGCCTAAATGTCTTCATCTCCAAAATAGGCTTCTAATAATCTCTACTTCAATTAGTGTTACAATTGAGGATCAAATAGCTTAATAAAACTGCACTTGAAACAGAGTAAGTACTGTTATAAATATTTTCTGTTGTCATTCTTATTGTCATCATCATCATTACTAGTAGTAATATTAGAGCACCTATCACGATACTGTAATGATTCAATTATTTGCTTATTTTTGTTTCTCCAATTCCTTAACCCAGTGCCTAGGAGTGAAATTAGATAAACACATGTTTGCTAAGAGAATTTCTGGTACAGGAATAAACTAGTTAACTCTTTTTTTGCTTCTTAGGAAGGGGTCATTTCCTATGAGCCCCCAATAATGGGATTGTAGGGGCTGTGGGTCCTTACTTGTCAACCGTGTTGAGAGTGAAGGAACTTGATAAGCACTTGTCACTGTTCCCAGCTCAACGCTCTCTGTCATTCTGGTATCCAAAATGGGTGATGAAGATGTCCTGCCTGGTTGGCTTGAAGTGTCCAAAGTACTGACCATAACCAAGCGTCCTTCAGTAGTGCTGCTCTCTGTCCCAAGACTGGTGTCCACTCTATATGGGGTAGCTGAAGAGGAAGTTATCTCATGGAGGGCTGGGATGGTTGAAGAATCAGTGGTAGTGAAGGTTGAAGAGGAGAATGGCACAGGAGTGGATGAAGGCAGGCTCTCTGCAATGGTGGACAGAGTAGCATCCCCAGGGCCTGACTCTGTCCTAGAGAATGGACTACCTGAACCTGAGATGGCTCGTGGAACTCCAGTGGTGGCAAATGAAGTCATGGCCTCTGATAGAGAAGGCATCACTGTGCCAGTGGAAATAGTCTCAGCTGAAGGCAGCAAATCTGTACTCAGATGATGAGTACTTTCTGTTACAGACATAGTAAACCTGGATTCTGGGAAGGAGGTTATCCCAGTGGACTCCGTAATAGATGGAGAAGCATTAAAGGGGGTGATTATGTCCACTGGAATTTCAGTATACTGTGAGGCTGGAGGCCAGTCTGGGGATGATGTTTTTGCAGAAGAGGTGAAATCAGTCTTGGAACTCTGTAAAAGGTGAGTGGACCCAGGAGAAGAAGGTGTATTTGTTGGTGTGACTGAGCTGGTGTCCAGGGACATGTTTGTCTTCCTAAATCCAGAAGTCAAATGAGAAAATGGCTCAGCCTCAAATCCTGTGGTCTCAAAATTAGCAGGCATTGATGTGGAAATAGAGGTTTCAGCCATGGAAGAGGGAGTACCCACTGGGTATGTAGCCTTGGATGGCTCCGAGTGGATTGAAACAGAGGAATATAGTTCATGTCCAGAACTGGTGGTTCCCACATTGGTCACTGCCATGCTTGAAGAAGGATGAATTTTCTCTGTATCTGTGGTGACTTCAGAGGCAGCCAGTATTTCAACTGAGGTGCCACTCAGATTTGGAGATAAACTGGTTCCAGGTTCTGTGCTTGTGTCTGTAGTCTTCACCATGCCTGGGGTGAGGAGTGAAGTCACAGAAAAAGAGGAGGAAGGGATACTCTGCGGTAATGTGGAAGAAACAGAAGGTGAGGTCGTGACAGGTAAGGACAACAGAGAAGATGAAGAGCTAGTTTTTTCCACAAAGAGAGAGCTCTTCCATGATGGATTTTCAGGACTCCTACTCATAAGAGTTGTCATCTCTGAGTGTAAAAATCTAGGAGGAACAGTTGAGTGGGTCCTTGCCAAGGGGGCTGTTGTTGTGGCCAAGGTAAGAGTACTCTGTGCTGTAGCCCCAGGAGAACTTTTTTGGGTGGTGATGGTCATTTGTGTTGATTCTGACATCATGGATGAGGAAGAGAGCCTGGTGATCACTTCAGTGATGATGTCTGGAGACATCGTGGACTGATCAGAGTCAGGGATGTGTATTCTATTAGAGGACATGATTTCTGTCATGGAGACTTCAGTAGTAGCACTAGTGGGCACTCCATAAAGGACTGCACTTGTTTCTGTGATTGAGGTGGTCTCTTCAGAGGTGCTAGTCTCCCTGAATCCAGGAGTCAATGAGAATGTTGGCTCTGTCGGAATCCTCCTAGTCTCAGAGAAGGCAGGATTTGATGTGAAAACAGTGGTATCGTCCACAGCGGAGGTGATACCCATTGAAGGTATGGTTATGGTTGTTTCTGAGTCAGCTAGGACAGAGGAATGAGATTCATGAACAGAACTGGAGGTCCTCACTTTGGCCACCGCTGTGTTTGAGGAAGGATGAATTTTCTCTGTATCTGTCATGATTTCAGAGGTGGCCGGTATTTCAACTGAGGTGCTGCTCAAATTTGGAGATGAACTGGTTTTAGGCTCTGAGCTTGTATCCAACACTTCTGTAGTCTTCACCAGGCCTGGGAGGATAAGTGAAGTCACAGGAAGAGGAGAGGAGGGGCTACTGTCTAGTAATGTGGAGGACACAGGAGAAAGTGAGGTCGTGAGAGGTAATGATGTCAGAGAAGAGGAAGATCTAGTTGTTTCCACAAAGCGAGGGCTCGTCCATGACAGACTTTCAGGACCCCTGCTCATAAGATTGGTCATCTCTGAGTGTGAAAGTCCTTGAGACATAGTTGAGTGGGTCCCTGACAAAAAGGTCATTGAGGTGCCCAAGGGAAGGGTAACCTGGGATGTAGCCAGAGAATAACCTGTTTGGGTGGTGATGGTTATTTCTGCAGATTCTGTCATGATGGGAGAGGTAGACAGCCTGGTGACAACTTCATCGGAGATGTCTAGTGACATTGTGGACTGAGCAGGGCCAGGAATGGATGTTCTGCTAGAGGGCATAACTTCTGTCCTGGAGACCTCAGGAGTGGCACCAGAGGGCATCTTGTAAAGGACAGTGCTTGTCTCTGTGGATGAGGTGATGTCCTGGGAGGTTCTGGTCTCCCTCAGTCCAGGGGTCAGAGATGACATTGACTCTATCTCAATCCTTGTAATGCCAGAGGAGCCAGGCATTGTTGTGGAAACCATGTTGTCTCTTATAGAGGAAGAGGTGACCACTGGAGATATCACTTTTGTTGGCTCTGAGAAGCCTGGGGAAGAGGAATAGAGTTCCTCTGTAGCACTGGTGGTTTCCACATGGGACGCTGCTGTATTTTCAAAAACGTGAATTGCCTCTGTCTCCGTGGTGGCTTTAGAAGCGGCCAGACTCTCATCTGAGGTGATATTCATATTGGGAGCTGAAGTGGTCTCAGGTTCCAAACTTGCATCCAACATGTCTGTGGCCTTCATCATGATAGAGGTGAAAAGAGAAGTGACAGGGACAGGAGAGGAGTGGCTACTCCCAGATGGTGTGGAATAAAGTGGCGAAGGTGAGGTTACTGAAGATGAAGATACCAGGGAAGATGGAGGGCTGTTTTTTTCCACAGACAGCGGGCTTGGCCATGACACATCCTCAGGACCTCTGCTCATAGGAGTTGTCACCACTGACTGTGGAAATCTCTGAGTTGTAGCTGAGTGAGTTCCTGGCCAGGAGGCTGTGCTTGATGAGTCCAAGGTAAAGGTACCCTGCGAGGTAGCCCCAGAAGGACCTGTTTTGGGGGTGATGGCCATGTCTGTTGATTCTTTCCTTGTGAGGGGGGTAGAAATTCTAGTGATGGTTTCCATGGAGGTGTCTGATGACATTGTGGATTGAGCAGGGCCTGGGATGGATGTTCTGCTAGAAGAGATGGCTTCTGTCCTGGAGACCTCAGTAGTAGCACCAGTGGGCACACTAGAAAGGACAGTGCTTTTTTCTGTGGCAGAGCTGGTCTCTTCAGAGATGCTGGTCTCCATCAACCCAGGAGTCAGTGAGAGCTTTGACTTTGTTTGAATCCTACTGGTGTCAGAGAAGGCAGGGGTTGATGTGAGAACATTTGTATCTCCTGTGGGGTAGGTGATACCCATTGAAGATGTGGCCTTTGTTGTCACTGAGTCAGCTAGGACAGAGGAAGGAGATTCATGTGTATAACCTGAGGTTACCACATTGGTCATCTCCAGTTTCTCTGTATCTGTAGTGACTTCAGTGATGGCCAGTATTTCAGCTGAGGTGCTGCTCAAATTTGGGGGTGAACTGGTTTCAGGTTCTGAGCTTGTGCCCAACAGCTCTGTGGTCTTCACCAGCCCTGAGGTGAGAAGTGATGTCACAGGAAGCGAAGAAGAGTGGATGCTGTCTGGTAATGTGGAAGAAACGGGAGAAGATGAGGTCATGACAGGTGAAGACAGTGAGAAAGAGGCAGAGCTGGCTTCTTCCACAGAGGGATGGCTTAGCCATGGCACATCTCCAGGAGTTCTACTCATAAGAGCGGTCATCTGTGAGTGTGAAAATCCTTGAGATGCAGTTGAGTGGGTCCCTGACATAAAAGTTGTTGAAGTGTCCAAGGTAAGGGTACCCCTTGATGTAGCCCCAGGAGAACCTGTTTGGGTGGTAATGGTCATTTCTGTAGATTCTGTCTTGATGGGGGAGGTAGAGAGCCTGGTGATCACTTCAGTGGATATGTCTTGTGACATTGTGGACTGATCAGGGCTAGGTCCTCTGCTAGAGGACATGACTTGTGTCATGGAGTCCTCAATCGTGGCACTAGTGAGTGCCTTGTAAGGAACAGTGCTTGGCTTTGTGGCTGAGTGGATCTCCTGGGAGGTGCTGGTCTCCCTTGGTGTGGGGGTCAGGGTGGATGTTGACTCCATCTCAATTCTTGTTATCTCAGAGGAAGCAGGTATGGTTGTAGAAACAATGTCTTTTATGGTGGAAGAGGTGACCACTGGAGATGTCACTTTGGATGGCTCTGGGAGGCCTGGATAAGAGGAATAGAATTCTTGTCTAGCGCTGATGGTGCCCATCTGAGTCACAGCTGTGTTTTCTGAAAGCTGAATTGCCTCTGTCTCCATGGTGGCTTTAGAAGTGGCCAGACTCTCATCTGAGGTGATATTCATACTGGGAGGTGAAGTGGTCACAGGTTCCAAGCTTGTGTCCAACATGTCTGTGGTCTTCATCATGACAGGGGTGAAAAGAGAAGTCACCCGGAGAGGAGATGAGTGGCTACTCTCAGATGGTGTGGAATAAAGTGGCGAAGGTGAGGTTACTGCAGATAAAGACACCAGGGAAGATGGAGGGCTAGTTTTTTCCACTGATGGGCGGCTTGGCCATGACACATCCTCAGGACCTCTGCTCATAGGAGTGGTCATCCCTGAGTGTGGAGATCTGTGAGTTGCAGCTGAGTGAGTTCCTGGCCAGGAGGCTCTGCTTGATGTGTCCAAGGTAAAGGTACCTTGTGAGGATGCCCCAGAATGACCTGTTTTGGGGGTGATGGTCATTTCTGCTGATCCTGTCGTGGTGAGGGGAGTAGAAATTCTAGTGATGGTTTCCGTGGAGATTTCTGGTGATATTGTGGATTGAGCAGGACCTGGGGTGGATGTTCTGCCTAAGGAGAGGGCTTCTGTTCTGGAGACCTTAGTAGTAGCACCAGTGGGCATTCCAGAAAGAGAAGCACTTCTCTCTGTTGCTGAGCTGGTCTCTTGAGAGGTACTGATCTCCCTTAATCCAGAAGTCAGGGAGGAAGTTGGCTGTGTCATCATAGTTTCTGGGAAGGCAGGAGTTGATGTGGAAACACTTGTATTCCCCAGAGTGGAGGTGGTAGCCATTGGAGATGTGGGTTTTGTTGTCACTAAGTCAGCCAAAACAGAGGAAGGGGATAGATGTTTATAAATCACAGTCCCTACATTGACTACAGGTGTGTTTGAGGAGGGATGAATTTTCTCTCTATCTTTGGTGACTTCAGACGTGGCTAATATTTCAGCTGAGGTGCTGCTCAAATTTGGAGGTGAACTGGTTTCAGGTTCTGAGCTTGTGCGCAACATGTCTGTGGTCTTCACTGGGCCAAGGGTGAGAAGTGCAGTCACAGGATGAGGAGAGGAGGAGATGCTCTCTGGTAATGTGGAGAAAAAAGAAGTTGAGGTCATGGCAGGTGAAGACAGTGAGGAAGAGACAGAGCTGGCTTCTTCCACAGAGGGAAGGCTCGGCCATGGCACATCTCCAGGAGTTCTACTCATAAGAGTGGTCATCTCTGAGTGTGAAAATCCTGGAGATGCAGTTGAGTGGGTCCCTGACCAAAAGGTTGTTGTTGAGGTGTCCAAGGTGAGGGTACCCTCTGATGTAGCCCCAGGAGAACCTGTCTCAATAGTGATGGCACTTTCTGCTGATTCTGTCATAATGGGGGAAGTAGAAAGCCTGGTGATCGCTTCAGTAGAGATGTCTGGTGATATGGTGAACTGATCAGGCCCTGACATGGATGTTCCCCTAGAGGATATCACTTCTGTCCTGGAGACCTCAGTGGTAGCACCACTGGGCACTTCAGAAAGGACAGTGCTTCCCTCTGTGGCTGAGCTGATCCTCTCAGAGCTGCTGGTCTCCCTCAATCCAGAAGTCAGGGAGGATGTTGGTTCTATCTGAATTCTGCTGGTCTCAAAGAAGTCAGAAGTGGATATGGAAACACTCGTTTCCCCCATGGTGTAGGTGGTACCCATTGGAGATGTGGCTTTGGGTGTCTCTGAGTCAGATAGGACAGAAGATTGTGATTCATGTCCAGAAATGGAGGTCCTCACGTTGGTCACTGCTGTGTGTGTGGAAGGCTGCATGTCTTCTGTATCTACAGTGTCTTCCAAAGTGGTCAGTCTCTCATGGGAGGTGCTGCTCAAATTTGAAGTGGAACTGGTTCCAGGTTCTCTGCTTATGCCCATCCTGTCTGTGGTTATCACCAGGCCAGGGTTGAGAAGAGAAGTCACAGGAAGAGAAGCGGAAGGGAAATCCTCTACTAATGTAGAGGAAACAGGAGAAGGTGAGGTCGTGGCAGGCAGAGACAGCAGGGAAGAGGCAGAGCTGGTTTCTTCCACAGAGGATTGACTAGGCCATAACATATCACCAGGGCTTCTGCTCACAAGAGTGGTCATCTCTGAGTGTGAAAATCTCTGAGTCACAGTCGAGTGGGTTTCTACCCAGTTGGGTGTTGTTGATATGTCCACAGTATGAGTACTCTCTGGTGTAGACCCAGGAGGATCTGTTTGTGTCTTGATCATCATTTCTGCTGATTCTGTCATTATGCTGGAGGTAGGGAGTCTGGTGATGGTTTCTGTGGAAGTCTCTGGTGACACTGTGAGCTGAGCAAAGCCTGAGATGGATGTTCTGCTAGAGGAGGTGACTTCTGTCCTGGAGACTTCAGCAGTGGCACCAGTGGGCACTCCAGAAAGGACAGTGCTCATCTCTGTGGCTAAGCTGGTCCCCTCAGAGCTGCTGGTCTTTCTCAGTCCAAGGGTCAGGGAGGATGTTGGTTCTGTCTGAATTCTGCTAGTCTCAAAAAAGCCAGGAGTTGATGTGGAGACACTCGTATCCTCCATGGTGGAGGTAATAACCATTGGAGATGTGACTTTGGATGTCTGTGAGTCAGCTAGGACAAAGGAAGTGGATTCATGTCCAGAACTGGAGGTCCCCACATCGGTCACTGTTCTGTTTGAAGAAGGATGAGTTTTCTCTGTATCTGTGGTGACTTCAGAGGTGGCCAGTATTTCAACTGAGGTGCTGCTCAAATTTGCAGGTGAGTTGGTTACAGGTTCTGAGCTTTTGTGCAACATATCTGTAGTTTTTGCCAAGCCAGACGTGAGGAGTGAAGTCACAGGAAGAGGAGAGGAAGAGATGCTCTCTGGTAATGTGGAGGAAACAGGAGAAGGTGAAGTTGTGGCTGGTGAAGACATCAGAGAAAAGGAAGGTCTAGTTTTTTCCAGAAGGGGAGGGCTCATCCATGATACATCCTCAGGACCCCTCCTCATAAGAGTGCTCATCTGTGAGTGTGAAAATCCTTGAGATATAGTTGAGTGTGTCATTGTCAAAGAGGTTGTGCTTGACGTGTCCAAAGTACTGGTGCCTTGTGTTGTGGCCCCTAAAGGACTTGTATGGGTGTTCATGGTTATTTCTGCTGATTCTGTCATGACAGGGGATGTAGAGAACCAGCTGACGGTTCTTGTGGAGATGTCTGGTGATATTGTGGATTGAGCGGGACCTGGGATGGAGGTGACGTCTTCCTTGGAGATCTCAGTAGTAGCACCAGTGGGCACTTTAGAGAGGACAGTGCTCATCTTGGTGCCTGAGCTGGTCCCTTCAGAGCCGCTGGACTCCCTCAATCCAGGGGTCAGGGAGGAAGCTAGCTCTGTCTGAATCCTCCTAGTCTCAAGGAAGGCAGGAGTTGATGTGAGAACACTTGTATCCCCCATGGTGGAGGTGGTACACATTGGAGATGAGTCAGCTAGGACAGAGGACTGTGATTTATATCCAGAGCTGGTGGTTGCCACATTGGTCCCTCCTGTGTTTGTGGAAGGATGCACGGCTTCTGTATGTGCAGTGTCTTTGTAAGTGGTCAGTCTCTCATGGGAGGTGGTGCTCAAACTTGAAGATGAACTGGTTCCAGGTTCTGTGCTTGTACCCAAGATATCTGTGGTTGTCGCCGGGCCAGAGGTGAGAAGTGAAGTCACAGGAAGGGGAGAGGGGGGGATATGTGCTAGGAATGTGGTGGAAACAGGATGAGGTGAGGTCACGGCAGGTAAAGACAGCGGGGAGGATGGAGGGCTGGTTTCTTTCACAAAGGGAGGGCTAGGCCATGACACACCTCCAGGACCTCTGCCCATGGAAGTGGTCATCTCTGGGTGTGGAAATCCCTGAATTACTATAGAGTGGGTTTCCACCCAAGAGGGTGTGGTTGCTGTGTTCAAATTAAGGGTACTTTCTAGTGTAGACTCCGAAGGACCTGTTTGGGTTGTGATGGTCATTTTTGCAGATTCTGTCAGGACAGAGGAGGCAGAAATCCTGGGGATGGTTCCTATGGAGATGTCTTGTGACATTGTGGACTGCTCAGGGCCTGACATGGATGTTCTGCTAAAGGAGATGGCTTCTGTCCTGGAGACCTCAGTAGTAGCACCAGTGGACACTTTAGAAAGAACAGTGTTTGCTTCTGTGGCTAAGCTGGTCTCTTCAGAGGTGCTGGTCTCCCTCAATCTGGTGGTCAGTGAGGAAGCTGGCTCTGACTGAATTTTCCTAGTGTTAGATAAGGCAGGAGTTAATGTAGAAACACTTGTATCCCCCATAATGGAGATGGTACCCATTGCCGATGTGGCTTTGGTTGTCTCTGAGTCAGGTAGGACAGAGGAAGGGGATTCATGTCCAGAACTGGAAGTTCCAACTTTGGTTACTGCCGTGTTTGAGAAAGGATGAATTTTCTCCGTATCTGTGGTGACTTCAGAGGTGGCCAGTATTTCAACTGAGGTGCTGCTCAAACTTGGAGGTGAACTGGTTTCAGGTTCTGCACTTGCGTCCAACACCTCAGTAGTCTTCACTTGGCCTGGTGTGAGAAGTGAAGTCACAGAAGCAGAAGAGGAGTGGCTACTTGCTGGTAATGTGGAAGAAACAGGAGAAGGTGAGATCATGGCAGATAAAGACAGCTGGGAAGATGGAGGGCTTGTTTCTTCCACAGGGAGAGAGCTGGGCCGTGGCACATCCCCAGCACCTCTACTCACAAGAGTGGTTATCTCTGAGTGTGGCAATCTCTGAGTCATAGTCGAATGGGTTATTACCAAGGAGGGAGTGGTTGATGTGTCTAATGTAAAGGTACTCTCTGATGTAGACCCAGGAGGACTTGTTTGGGTCTTGATGGTCATTTCTGATGATTCTGCCAGGATGGGGGAAGTAGGGAACTTAATGATTTTTCTTGTGGTGGATATTTCTGGCAACATTGTGGACTCAGCAGAACCAGAGATGGATGTTCTGCTAGAGGAGGTGACTTCTGTCCTGGAGATCTCAGTAGTAGCACCAATGGACACTTCAGAAAGGACAGCACTTGTCTCTATGGCTGAGCTTGTCTCCACAGAACTGCCTGTCTCCCTCAATTTAGGGCTCAGGGAGGAAATTGACTCTTTCTGAATTCTGCTAGTCTCCAAGAAGTGAGGGGTTGATATGGCAACAGTTGTATCCTCCTGGGTGGAGGTAATAAACATTGGTGATGTGGCTTTGGATGTCTCTGAGTCAGCTAAGGCAGAGGAAGGGGATTCATGTCCAGAGCTGGGAATCTCCACATTGGACGCTGCTGTGTTTGTGGAAGGATGCACAGCTTCTGTATTTGTGGTGTCCTTGCCAGTGGTCAGTCTCTCATCTGAAGTGTGGCTCAGCTTTGGAGGTGAACTGGTTACAAGTTCTGGGCTTGTGTGTAACATGTCTGTGGTCGTTACCGGGCTAGAGGTGAGAAGTGAAGTCACAGGAAGAGGAGAGGAGGAGATAGTCACTGGTAATGTGGAGGAAATGGGAGGAGGTGAGGTTGTGGCAGGTAAAGACAGCAGGGAAGGGAGAGAGCTGGGATTTTCCAGAGAGGGAGAGCTTTGCCATGACATATCTCCAGGACCTCTGCTCATGAGAGTGGTCATCTCTGAGTGTGGAAATCTCTGAGTCAAAGTTGAATGAGTCTTTGCCTGGGACTTTGTGGTGGATGTGTCCAAGGTAAGGGTATCCTGTGAGGTAGACCCAGAAGGACCTGTTTGAGTGGGGATGGTCATTTCTGCTGATTCTGTCATGGTGGGCGAGGCAAAGAGCCTTGTCATTGTTCTTGTGGATATTTCTGGCAAAACTGTGGACTGAGAAGGGCCAGGGATGGATGTTCTACCAGAGGAGGTGACTTCTGTCCTGGAGACCTCAGCAGTAGTACCAGTGGGGACTTCTGAAAGAACAATACTTGTGTCAGTGGAAAAGCTGGCATTTTGGGAAATGCTGGTCTCTCTCAGTCCAGGAGTCAAGGAATATGTTGACTCTCTCTTAATTTTTGTAGTCTCAGAGGAAACAGACATTGATGTGGAAACAGTTGTATGCCCCATGGTGGAGGTGGTATCCATTGGAGCTGTGGCCTTGGTTTTTTCTGAGTCAGCTAGGACAGAGGATTGTGACCCATGTCCAGAACTGGTGGTTTCCACATTAGTCGCTGCTGTGCTTGTGGAAGGATGCATGGCTTCTATAGCTGTGGTGTCTTCATCTGTTGTCAGTATCTCATGTGAGGTACTGCTCAAATTTGGAGGTGAACTGGTTGTAGGTTCTGGGCTTGTGCCCAATGTGTCTGTGGTCATCACTAGGCTAGGGGTGAGCAGTGAGGTCATAGGAGAAGGAGTGGTGTGAATGGTCTTTGGTAATGTTGAGGAAACAGGAGGTGAAGTCATGGCTGGTGAAGGCATCAGGGAAGAGGAGAAGCTGGTTTTCTCTATAGAAGGAGGGATTGTCCATGATAGAATCTCAGGGTCCTTGTTCATGACAGTGGTCATTTCTGAGTGTGGAAATTCCTGAGTCGCCATCGAGTGTGTTCCTGCCCTGGAGGATGTAGTTGGTGTGTCCAAGGTAAATGTGCCCTGTGATGTAGAGCCAAGAGGAGGACCTGTTCGAGTGATGATGGTCATATTTGAAGATTCTGTAATGCCAAGGGAGATAGGCAGGCTGGGGATCACTTCAGTGGAGATGTCTGGTGACTCTGTGGAATGATCAGGGCCTGGAATGGATGTTCTTCTAGAAGAGGCAACTTCTGTCCTAGAGGTCTCAGTAGCACCAGTGGTCAACTTGTGAAGGACAGCACTTTTCTCTGTGGATACGATGGGGTCCTGGGAGGTGCTGGTTCCCTTCAGCCCATGAGCCAGGGAGAATGTTGACTCCATCTCAATCCTTGTAATCTCAGAGGAGCCAGGCATGGATGTGGAAACAATGGTGTCCCTTATGTTGAAAGAGGTAACCATTGGAGAGGTGACTTTGGGTGGTTCTGAGTAGGCTGGGACAGACGAATAAGATTCCTTTTCAGAAGTGGTGGTCCCCACATTGGTTACTGCTATGTTTGTGGAAGGATACATTTTCTCTGTATCTTTAATGTCTTCTGAAGTAGTCGGTATCTTATGTGAGGTGCTGCCCAAGTTTGGAGGTAAACTGGCCACAGATGCCAGCATATCTGTGGTCTTCACTAGGCCAGAGGTGGGGAGTGAAGTCAGATGAACAGGAGAAGACGGCCTACTTTCTGGTAATGTAGTAGGTACAGGGGACGGTGAGGTTATTGCTGGTAAAGACAGAAGGGAAGAGGAAGAGCTGGTTTTTTCCACAGAGGGTGGGCTTGTCCCTGATATGTACTCAGGAACTCTACTCGTAAGAGTGGACAAATCTAATTGTGAAAATCCATGAGTCATAGCTGAGTGGGTCCCTGCCTGTGAGGTTGTGATTGATGTGTCCCAGGTAAGGGTACCCTGTGATGTCGCCCTATGAGGACCTGTTTGGGTGGCAATGGTCCTTTCTTCGGATTTTGTCAGGCCAGCAAAAGTAGAAAGCATGGTGACAGATCTTGTGGAGGTGTCCGGTGACATTGTGGGCTTTTCAGTGCCTTGGATGGATGTTCTGCTAGAGGAGGTGAGTTCTGTTCTGGAGACCTCAGTAGTAGCAGCAGTGAATGCTTTGTCAAAGACCGTGCTTGTGTCTGAGGATGAGCCAATTTTCTGGGAGGTGCTAGTCTCCCTCAGTCTAAATATCAGGGAGAAAGTTGTCTCAGACTCAATCTTTTTCATCGCAGAGGATCTAGGCATTGATGTGGAAACTATTGAGTCCCCCGAGGTGGAAGTGATAACTACTGCGGATGTGGCTTTATATGGGTCTGAGTCAGGTGAGACAGTAAAATAGAATTCATTTGGTGAACTGGTGGTCCCCACATTGGCCACTGCTGTGTTTATAGAAGGATGCATTGTGTGTGTATCTGTGGTGGCTTCTGAAGTGGCCAAGGTGTTCCTTAAATTTTGAGGTGAACGAGTCACAGGTTCTAAGTTTGTGTCCATGTCTGTGATCTTCGCCAGTGTAGGGGTGGGTACTGAGGTCACAGAAACAAGAGAGGAGGTACTGTGCTCTTGCAATGTGGAAGTTACAGGAGAAGGTGAGGTTGTCACAAGGAGAGGTGCCTGAGAAGAGAGAGAGTTGGCTTCTTCTGCAGAGAAAGGGCTTGTCTTCAACACATCATTGAGATCATTGTTCATGACACTGGTTGTTTCTGAATCTACAAAATCCTGAGTTCTGGCTGATGGAGTTCCTGCTGAGGTGGCTATGGTTGATGTGTCCAGGGTCAGTTGGCCAAGAGATGTCACCCCAGAAGGACCTGTTTGTGTGGCGATGGTCTTGTGTGTAGATATTGTCAAGGGAGGAGAGTTAGAATGACTGCTGCTGGCTTCAGGTGAAATGTCTGGGGACTTTGTTGACTGAGCAGAAGCTGGCATGAATGTAGGATCATAGTAGGTGACTTCTGCCCTGGAGACCTCAGTAGCAGCATCCAGGGACACACTGGAGAAAACAGTGTTTGACTCTGTAGTTGAGTTCATCACCAGGGCGGTGCTGTCCTCTTTCAGTTCAGGAGTCAGAGGGGATGTTGAGTCTCTGTCAACATTTTTAGTCTCAGGAGAACCAGGTGTTGATGTGGAAACAATAGCGTCCTCCATCATAGATCCAGTAACCTTTGGAGGTGTGTGTCCGGATGGCTGGGAGTGGATTGAGACAGAGGAATGTAGTTTATGCATAGAATTGGTGGTCCCCATATTGGTTTCTGCTGTGTTCTCTGAAAAGTGAATTGTCTCTGTATTTGTGGAGGCTTCAGAAGTGAGTATCTCACCTGAGAAGCTACTTGCACTTGGTAAGGAGCTGGTCACAAGTTCTGAGTGTGTGTCCAACATGTCTATGGTCTTCCTCCTGCCAGAGGTGAGAAGGGAAGTCACAGGGAGAGCAGAAGTGGGGCTACTTCCTGATACTGCGGAATAAAGAGATGAATGTGAGGTTATTGCAGGTAAAGGCACTGGGGAAGAAGGAGAACTGGTTTCTTCCACAGAGGGAGGGCTTTGCCATGACACGCCCTTAGTACTTCTGCTCATAGTAGTGGTCTCCTCTGAGTGTGGAAATCTCTGAGTCACAGGTGAGTGAGTCCCTTCCCAGGAAGCTGTGCTTGATGTGTCCAGGGTAAGGGTAGCCTGTGAGATAGTCCCTATAGGACCTGTTTGGTTGGTGATGGCCATTTCTGTGGATCCTGTTACAAAAGGAAAAGTGGAGAGCCTGGTGATGGTTTCTGTGGAGATGTAGGGTGACATTTTGGAATGATCAGGCCCTGAGATGGTTGTTCTGCTGGAAGTGATAACTTCTGTCCTGGAGACCTCAGTAGTAGTAGTAGTGGGCACTTCTGAAAGGACAGTGCTGGTCTCTGTCACAGTGTTGATCTCCTCAGACGTCCTGGTGTCCCTTAATCCAGGAATCAAAGAGGATGTTGATTCAGTCTGAATTCTAGTCTCAAAGAAGGCAGGAGTTGATGTAGAAACACTTGTATCCCCCATGGCGAAGGTGATACCCATTGGAGATGTGGCTTTGGATGTGTGTGAATCAGCTGGGACAGAAGATTGTGATTCATGTCCAGAAATGGAGGTCCCCACGTTGGCCACTGCAGTGTTTGTATGCATGGAAGCATGCATGGCTTCTGTGTGCGCAGTGTCTTTGTAAGTGGTCAGTCTCTCCTGTGTGGGGCTGCTTAAATTTGGAGGTGAACTCGTTACGGGCTCTGGGCTTGTTGTGCCCAATACATTTGTGGTTGTCACCAGAACAGAAGTAAGAAGTGCAGTCACAGGGAGAGGAGAGGAGGGGATGCTCTCTGGTGATGTGGAGGAAACAGGAGAAGGGGATGTCATGGAAGGTGACATCAGGGAAAACCCAGAGCTGGTTTCTTCCACAGGGGGAGTTGTCATCCATGACACATCTCCAGGGGTTCTGCTCCGAAGAGTGGTTATCTCTGAGTGTGGGAATCCCTGAGACACGGTTGAATGAGTCCCTCCCTGGAAAAGTGTGGTTGATGTGTCCCAGGGAAGGATACCCTGTGATGTAGCCCCAGGAGTAGTTGTTTGAGTGGTGACGGTCATTTCTGCAGATTTTGTCATGATGGGGGAGGTGAAGAGCCTGGTGATCATTCCTGTGGAGATGTCGGGTGCTATTGTGGGCCGATCAAGGTCTGAGATGGATGTTCTGCTAGAGGAGATTTCTGTTCTGGAGGCCTGAGTAATAGCACCTGTGGGCACATAAGAAAAGGCAGTATTTGTCTCTGTTGTTGAGCTGGTCTTCTCAGACGTGCTGCTCTCCCTCAGTCTAGGGCTCAGGGATGCTGTTGGCTCTGTTTGAATTTGGTTAGTCTGAGAGATATTAGGAGTTGATGTGGAAACACTTGTGTCCCCCAGGGTGGAGGTGGTACTCATCAGAGGTGTGGCTTTCGATGTCTCTGAGTCAGCTAGGACAGAGGATTGTGATTTATGTCCAGACCCGGAAGTCCCTACATTGGTCACTGCGGTGTTTGTGGAATGATGCATGGCGGCTTCTGTGTGTGCAGTGTCTTTGTAAGTGGCCGGTCTCTCATGAGTGATGCTGCTCAAATTTGGAGGTGAACTGGTTACAGACTCTGGGCTTGTTGTGCCCAACACATCTGTGGTTGTCACCAGAACAGAAGTAGGAAGTGCAGTCACAGGAAGAGGAGAGGAGGGGATGCTCTGTGGTGATGTGGAGGAAACAGGAGAAGGGGATGTCATGGCAGGTGAAGACATCAGGGAAGACACAGAGCTGGTTTCTTCCACAGGGGGAGTTGTCATCCATGACACATTCCCAGGACCCATGCCCATGAGAGTGGTCACCTCTGAGTATGGGAATCCCTGAGTCACAGTTGAATGAGTCCCTCCCTGGGAAAGTGTGGTTGATGTGTCCAAGGGAAGGGTACTGTGCGATGCAGACTCAGGAGGACTTGCTTGGGTGGTGATCGTCATTTCTGCAGATTTTGTCTTAATAGAGGAGGTGAAGACCCTGGGGATCTCTCCTGTGAAGGTGTCAGGTGGCACTGTGGACTTATCATGGTCTGGGGTGGAAATTTTGCTAGAAGAGTTGACCCCTGTACTGGAGACCTCAGTAATAGTACCAGTGGGGACTTTGGAAAGTAGAAAACTTGTGTCCGTGGGAAAGCTGGACTCCTGAGAGGTACTGGTCTCTCTCAGTCTAGGAGTCAAGAAATATGTTGGCTCTCTCTTAATGTTTGTAGTCTCAGAGGAACCATGCACTGGCATTGATGTGGAAGGAGCTGGATCTCCCACAGTGGTGGTGATAACCATTTGAGTTGTGGCTTTGGGTGTCTCTGAGTCAGCCAGTGCAGGGGAATGGGATTCATGTCCAGAGTTGTTGGCTTTCACATTGGTCTCTTCTGTGTTTATAGAAGGAAAAATTTCCTTTGTGTCTTTACTGTCTTTAGAAGTGGCCAGTATCTTATCTGAGGTGCTGCTGAAATTTGGAAGTGAGCTGGTCACAGGTTCCAAGCGTGTACGTAATATGTCTGTAATCTTCACTAGGCCAGAGGTGAGAAGTGAAGTCATAGGAGAGGAGAGCTTATCCTCTGGTAAGGTAGAAGAAATCAGGGAAGGTGTGGTCATTGCAGGTGAGGACAGAAAGGAAGAGGGGGAGCTGGTTTTATCCACAGAGGGAGGACTTGTCCATGATACATCCTGTGGAATTCTGCTCATAAGAGTGGTCACATCCAATTGTGAAAATCCATGAGTCATAGCTGAGTGGATCCCTGCCTGGGGGGTTGTATTTGATGGGTCCATGGTAAAAGTATCCTGTGATGTAGCCCCATGAGGACCTGTTTGGGTGGTGATGGTTATTTCTGCAGATTCTGTCATTATTGGGGAGGTAGACAGCCTGGTGTTGGTTTCTGTGGAGATGTCTAGTGACACTGTGGACTGATCAGGGCCAGGGAAGGATGTACTGCTAGAGGAAGTGACATCTGTCCTGGATACCTCGGTAGTGGCACCAGTGAGCTCTTTGTAAGGAACAGTGCTTGTCTCTGTGGACGAGGTGATCTCCTGGGAGATGCTGGTCTCCCTCAGTTTAGGAGTCAGGGAGGAAGTTGTCTCAGTCTCAGTTCTTGTAGTCTTAGAGGATTTAGGTATTGATCTGGAAATTGTGGTGTCTTCCATGGTGGAGGTGGTAACATTTGGAGATGTGACTTTAGATGGCTCTGGGTAAGCTGAGACAGTAGAATGTGATTCAAATGCTGAACCGGTGGTCCCCACATTGGTAACTACTGTGTTTATGGAAGGATGCGTTGTCTCTATATCTGTGGTGGCTGCTGAAGTGACCGATATGTCATCCAAAGTGTTGCTCATACTTTGAGGTGAACTGGTCACTGTTTCTAAGCTTGTATCCACCTTGCCTGCGGTCTTTACCAGTGAAGAAGTAAGAACTGAGGACATAGAAACAGGAGAGGAGGTACTGTGCCATTGCGGTGTGAAAGCAACAGAAGAAGGTAAGGTTGTGACAAGGACAGGTGCTTGAGAAGAGGGAGAGCTGGCTTCATCCTGAAAGGGAGGGTTTGTCTGTGACACGTCCTTGACATCATTGTTCATTGCAGTGGTTATTTTTGAGTGGGCAAACCCCTCAGTCACCACTGATGGAGTCCCTGCTGAGGTTTCCAAGGTTGATGTGTCTAAGGCAAGTGGAATCTTTGATGTAGCTCCAGAAGACCCTGTCTGGGTGGTGGTCATGTGGGTAGATATTGTCATGGGAGGAGAGTTTGAAAGTCTACTGCTGGCTACTGAGAAAATATCTGGGAACTTTGTTGACTGAGCAGGAGTTGGTATGAATGTTGCATCAAAAGAGGGGACTTCCATTTTTGTGGCTTCAGTAATAGCCCCCACAGACACATTGGAGAGGATGATGTTTGACTCTGTAGTTGAGTTCATCTCCTGGAGGGTGCTGTTCTCTTTTCGTCCAGCAGTCAGGGAGGATGTTGGCTCTCCCTCAATGTCTGTGGTCTCAGAACCAGGTATTGATATAGAAGCAAGAGCGTCCCCCATGCTGGAGGCAGGAACCATTGGAGATGTGGCTGTAGATGGTTCTGAGCTGACTGGGAGAGTGGAATGCAGTACATGTGCTGAACTGGCAGTCCCCATATTGGTCACTGCTTTGTTTATGGAAGGATGAATAGTCTCTATATCTGTGGTGGCTGCCAAAGTGGCCAGTATCTCATTTGATGGATTGTTCAAATTTTGAGGTGAATTGGTCACAGGTTCCATGCTTGTGTTCAACATATCTGTGGTCTTCACCAGTCCAGAGGTAAGAACTGAAGTCGCAGAAACAGGAGAGGATGTATGTTGCCCTTGTAACGTGGAAGTGGCAGGAGGTATGGTTGTGACCAAGAAAGGTGTCAGGGAAGAGGGATAGCTGGTTTCTGCCACAGAGGGAGGGCTTGTCCAGGACACATCCTTGGGACCTTTGCTTATGAGAGTGGTCTTCTCTGATTGCATAAAATCTGGAGTCACAGCTAATGGAGTCTCTGTCAAGTAAGGCATGGTTGATGTGTCCAAGAGATATGGACCCTGTGTTGCAGCTCCAGTAGGACCTGTTTGGGTGGTGATGGTCACTCCTGAAGATTCTGTCATTATCAGAGAGGTGGAGGGGTTGGTGCTCACATCTGTAAATGTGTTGGTAGAAGTTATAAACTGATGAGGGCTTGAGATGGATGTTCCGCTAGAGAAAGTGGCTTGTGTCTTGGTGACATGAGTAGTAGCATCACCACTAGACACATGGGTAATGACAGTGCTTGTCTCTGTAGCAGAGCTGGCCACCTGGGATGTGCTTCTCTCCTGAAGTCCCTGGTTCACAGAGGACACTGTCTCAATCTCTGTGGTCTCGGAGGAGCCAAATACTGATGTGGAAGAAGTGATGTCCCCCATGATGTGGGAGGTAACCAATGGAGATGTGGCTTTGGATGGCTTTGTATGGCCTGGGATAGGAGAATATTCAGAACTGGTTGCCTCCATATTCGTCACTGCTGTGTCTGCAGAATGATGAATTGCCTTTGTATCTCTGGAGGCTTCATAAGTGGATAACGCCTCACCTGCTGTACTGCTCAAATTGGGAGGTAAACTTGTGCCAGGTTCCAAGCTTATCCTCGACATGTCTGTGGTCTTCCCCAGGCCAGAGGTCTCAGACAAGAAAACTGAGGTCACAGGTGGAGTAGAGGAGGGACTGTGCCCTTGTGATGTCAACAAAATATTGGAAGGCGAGGTTGTAGCATGGATAGGTACCAGGGAAGAGGAAGAGCTGGTTTCTTCCACAGAGGGAGGGCTTGGCTGTGATGTATCCTCAGGACCTTTGCTAAAGAGAGTGGTCTTCTCTGAGTATGTAAATCTCTGAGTCGTAGCCAGTGGAGTCCCTGTCCAGGAGGCTGTGGCTGATGTATCCAAAGTAGGTGCACTTAGTGATGTAGCGCCAGGTGGACTTGTTTGCATAGCAAGGATCATTCCTCCAGATTCTGTCATGGCAGGAAAGTTAGACAGCCTGGTGATGGCTTCTGAGGGGCTGTCTGACGACCTCATAGACTGGGCAAGGAATGAGCTGGATATTCTCTTAGAGGAGGTAATTTCTGTTCTAGGCCCCTTGGTGATCGCAGTGGAACCTGGGGAAGAGATAATACTTGTTTGTGTGGTTGAGCTGGTGTCCATGTAAGGGCTGACGTCCCTCAGTTCAATAGTCAAGAAGGAATTAGGCTCTGTTCTAGCCCTTGTAGACTCTGGCCATGTGGTTGTTGACATAGAAACTATTGCTTGTTCCCTGGTGGAGGTTGTAACCACTGGAGATGTGAGTTTGGATGACGCTGAGTGGGCTGGGATAGTGGAATGAGAAGCATGTTCGGAACTTGTGACCCAGCCTGTGGTCTCTACTGTGTTTGTAGAAGGGTGAATTGCCTCTTTGTCTGTGGTGGACTCAGAAGGGGCAATTCTCTCATATGGGCTGCTTTTCCAACTTGGGGATGAAGTCGTCCCAGATTCCAAGTTTATGTCCAGCGTATTCAGGGTCCTTAATACACTGGAGGAGCTGGTAACCTCCTTGATGGTATCTTCTGAGACAGAATTCATCATCTCAGTGATCCAAGGTGCACTTGGGGTTGATTTTTCTTTCTCATTCCAGGAGTCAGATGTAGCTCTTGCCTCTGTTGTAAGAGCTGTCTGCCCTTGTCTCTGAAAAGTTGCATCTGGAGTTTTTGCTGTGTGTGGGATCACATCCAGAGTTGTTGCTGCTGATCTGGGCACCTGCCCTGGATGTGCAGAAGTGGTGGTGGGAAGCTGAGTGGAAGTCTGCTCTGCCTTTTTGCTTGTGGGATCTGGTCTTGAAAAAGTAACTCCAGAGCTCCTTGCCATTGCAGCTGGTGTGACTGCACTTGTAATGTGCCCTATAGAGAAGGGCAACTGTGAGGTAGCTGGGCTGATCATGGTTTCCAAAGTGAGTTCCTGGGGAGTTGTGGCCCCCTGAGGAGCTGAGGTAGTGGCTGTGGCTGATGACAGAGATCTCCCAGTGTCCCAGTCAAGAGTGGACAGAGAATCAAACAGAAAAGTGGACAGGGGCGTATTTGGGTCAGTCTTTGTACTAGCATGATCTGTAGAAACCATTGAAACAGGCACATCTTCTGCTTCTGTACTACTGGGAGTCCAACTTGTACTTAAAATGTCAGGAACTGAGATGCTCATCCTCTGGACACGAGAAAAAGTTGAGATGGGAGTAGATGCAGTTGTGTCTGAAGGACTCAATGTTCTTTCACTTGTACTGGTCTCTGTCTTTACAGCTGAAGCATCAGAGGATGGAGTGACCAGGCTGGTTCCAATGACAGTTATACGGCCATGGGGAGTAGACATGGAGTCTAATTCAGTGCTTGAGGCTAAGAATGAAGTTGTATGCATTGTGGAAATTGTTCCAGGAGATCTTGCAACTTTCAAGTTTGAAGTCATGTCTGTGACAGTCCAGGAATCTGATGCAGCTGTGGAAGACCAGGTGGAAGGGTGTTCTGTAGAAGTTGTGCGCCTCTCTGTGGCCGGGGTGCTGTCCATGGTACTCATACCCACTTCTGGGTTGGGTGTGGTAGTTGAGATTGAGTTGGTTCCCATGGTGGTGATGGTGGTGGAGATACCTGGAGTAGGAGCTGTGGTTACGTCCAGGATGCTCACTTCCGCAGGAGATGAAGTCTGAGATAGATGCCCAGCAGTAGGGGCAATGTCACTTTTCACTGCACTTACATTGGCCCTCAGAGTCTCAAGCCCTATTGAAGGAGATGTGACAGATGACGCAGAGCTTGTTTTTCCTCCTGAGGGATTGGTGAGGCTTGTAATGCCTTGGTCTCCAGAGGGCAGAGACACTAGTGAGGTGGTTTGTGCTGTGGAGGTGATGTATAATGTGTTTGTGACATCAGGAGATGCACCAAGGGTGATGTCACTCCCAGATGTCTGATCTGACCAAGAACTAGTTGATGAATAAGCCTCATCCACAGATCGACTTGTCTGTTGTTCAGCTGCCATTATCTTATTATTCAGGACAGTGGAGGGAATGGCTGTGGTGCTTACCCATGTCTCGGTTTTATGTTTGGATTTATCTGTCAATGAGCTCACAGAGTTTGGGCTGGTTACAGGGTCTTCAAGGATATTGGAAGATGTGCTCAGAGAGACATGTGTGTCCCCTGTGGTCCCTCCAGTAGAGCCATGCCACATAGAGAATTCCATTCCAGTTGTCTTTGAAACCAGTTCTGGACTGCTTTGCTGACCAGTCCCTGTGATGCTTCTAGCAGTTGGTGACTCTAGGGAGACAGAGGACATTGTGGCCAGTGACTGCCTGGTCCCTCCTGGAGTTCCAGAATAAAGGTTGGTCCAAGCCTCAGGTGGGGATGGGGAGAGGGAGACCCTTTCTGTAGCCAACATATTTTCTGTTGGTGACTTGGTTGGTGATGTGGTTCCTGTGGGCAGGTGAGAGATGCTGGTGCTGCCACTTCCTAGGGCTGTGGACTGAAGGGTGACTGGTTCCACTGTGGTCTCCATGGGAACAGTTGTTTCTGGAGTCTTCCAAGGAGAATTTCTCACAGTGGACCTGATCTCTGGGCTGATGCTGGGTTCCTTGGAGCTCATGATTTTGAGAGTGGTAGACATTTCTGGGCTTCCTGGGGATGTGCCTGTGATTAGAAAGTAAGTCAGTGGAGTATATGCAAATGGTACAGAAGATGAAGTTTTTTGGTTTGACACTATCATTCATTTCCTCCCGGGATTTCAATTAAAACTATTTCCTCCTTCTCTGGGAAAGAAAATGTTGAGCTTTTAATTCTCACACTTTAAGCCTCTGGACACCAGGGAACACATTAAACATTCCAAGGGAGATGGTGAAGTTAGAGCTTTGACCATCTGGCTTGCTCAGGAGAAATTATCACCTTTAGCTCAGTTTTTCCCCATGCCCCATATAAAAGGGCTCTTTGCATAAGGGAGGATGTGATGAACCAGGACTTCACCCATGCAAGAGGCTACCCCCAAACTATTTCCACTTTTGTCTTTGGAGCTTGCCCTTGCCAAACCAATTTCAGCTTCCAACTTTCAGCCTCCTCTAGGTTCCCCCAAATCTTAGTTCACTGCAAAGCTACTTAAGGATTTGAGAAGAAAGAGGATAAGGGAGATGAGCTCATTCTTTCTCGTCACCTTCATTTTCTTTCAAATTCATTCCTCCCTCTGAATCCTTTCCCTGTCCTTCAGGAAAATAACATCTACCTGTCAAAGGAGTGAGAAAAATGTGACATCCCAAGAGCACTCCTAGGGACCATATTTCACATTTTTCTAAGCAATTTGGCACTGCCAAGGACTTCAGCCCATAATCCCTTCTTCCGTAGTAACAAACGCAACATTTGCCATCTCAGGTTCACCTAGGCCCTCCCTGTGAACACAGTGATGGTCTCTGATTTAGAAAGATCCTTCACTCTGGAGCAGAAGAAAGTACAGAAAGAATCGACTCTGTAGCATTCTCTCCTGCTGAATTAATTGGCTATTGATCATGTAAATTAGTAAGTTGAAGCAACAGAAGTGTTCAATTAGTAACATCTATTGGGGAAAAATGATCAATATCCTCAGAGAAGAGTGTCAAGAAGTCAAAGGAACTTTTTTTTTTTTTAGATGGAGTCTTGCTCTGTCACCCAGGCTGGAGAGCAATGGCGTGATCTCGGCTCACTGCAACCTCCGCCTCCCAGGTTCAAGTGATTCTCCTTCCTCAGCCTCCCAAGTAGCTGGGATTACAGGTGTGTGCCACTATGCCCAGCTAATTTTTTGTATTTTTAGTAGAGACAGGGTTTCACTATGTTGGCCAGGCTGGTCTCAAACTCCTGACCTCGTGATCCGCCCACCTTAGCCTCCCAAAGTGCTGGGATTACGGGCGTAAGCCACCACACCCAGCCTAGGAACCTATTTTAAAACCTAGTCCTTGCTGGGTGTGGTGGCTCAAGCCTGTAATCCCAGTGCTTAGGGAGGCCGAGGTAGGTGAATCACTTGAGTCCAGGAGTTTGAGACCAGCCCAAGCAATATAGTGAGAACTATCTCTACAAAAAATTTAAGAAATACACACACAATTAACCAGGCTAATTGGTGATGATCACCTGCAGTTCTAGCTGTTGGGGGAGGCTGAAGTTGGAGGATTGCTTGAGACTGAGGAGGCTGAGGCTGCAGTGAACCATGAACACGCCATTGCACTCCAGCCTGGGCAACAGAGGGAGACCCTGTTTCAAAAAAAAAATGCGGTCTAGGCTGGGCACAGTGGCTCACACCTGTAATCCCTGCACTTTGGGAGGCTGAGGTGGGAGGATCTCTTGGAGCCAGGAGTTTAAGACCACCTTGGGCCACATAGTGAGACCCCATCTGTACAAAAAAAAAAATTTAAAAAAACAACAACAATAAGCTGGGCATAGCACAGAGGCTCTAGAGCCCAGTGAGTGAGCTGGACTGCTGCCCAGCTACTCAGGAGGCTGAGGTGAGAGGATAGCTTGAGCCCAGGAATTTGAGGCTGCAGTGAGTACAGTGAGTACTGCAGTAAATATACACCACTGTACTCCAGCCTGGGTGACAGAATGAGACCATGTCTCAAAAATAAATGAAAGAGAGAGAGAGAGAAAGAAGAGAAGAGAAGGAGAGGAGAGAGAAAGAGAGAGAGAGAGAGAGAGAAGAGAAGGAGAGGAGAGAAAGAGAGGAAGAGAGAAAGAGAGAAAGAAAGGAAAAGTTGCTAGCATTTACTTATAAAATAATGAAACTGAAGCCTTGTATATTTTTTCTTCCCAGAATCAATAAGCAGCACTTTTAGTCAGCAGCAAGCTGTCCTCCCACCTTGGCCTCTCGAGTAGCAGGGACTACAGGCCTGCACGATGCCCAACTTATTTTTTTTAAAAAAAATTTTTTTATAGAGGTGGGGTCTCACTATCTGGTCCAAATTGGCCTTAAGGCTTGGGTGAAAAAAATTAAGTAAAAAAATAAAAAATTTAAAAAGAACAAGAGAAAGAAAGAAAGAGAGAGAGAGAAAGAAGAAAGAAAGAGAAAGAAAGAAAGAAAGAAAGAAAGAAAGAAAGAGAAAGAAAGAAAGAAAGAAAGAAAGAAAGAAAGAAAGAAAGAAAGAAAGAAAGGGAGAGAAAGAAAAGAAAAGAAAAGAAAAGAAAAGAAAAGAAAAGAAAAGAAAAGAAAAGAAAGGCTTGGGTGGCATTAGCAGAGCAGAAATGGAAACAAGGTCTATATTTACCTGCTGGACTGCTCCCCGTCTCCTCTGCTGGGGCAGGCCACGTGGAATTTCCTTGTGCTGCCTGGCTTGACATCTTTATGGTGGTCACTAGCGTTCCATCAGTTGCTGAAAGAAAAGGGCAATAGGAAGGTTTAGCTATCCATTACTTCAGAATGTCAGTTTTTGAGCTTTCTTTACATTGACTGATCTTTCTATTTTGCTTCAACTCAGAGGCTCTAGAGCCCAGTGAGTGAGCTGGACAGCTGCCCAGGTGACCTCCCATCAAACACTAGTCTAACAGGACATGGTAGAAAGCAGACACCAGGCACCGTCACCAGAAAGACTGACAGATCTCAGATGGGAAGGGGTTCATTTTATAAGTAATCACAAATTAAAATGTGACAAGTGGCCAGGCACAGTGGCTTGCCCCTGTAATCTCAACACTTTGGGAGGTCAAAGTGGGAGGATTGCCTGAGCCCAGGAGTTTGAGACCAGCCTGGGTAGGATAGTGAGACACCATCTCTACAAAATAATTTTTAAAACTAGCTGGGCATGGTGATGTGCACCTGTAGTCCCAGCTCCTCTGGAGGATGAAGCAGGAGAATTGCTTGTGCCCAAGAGTTCAGGGTTGCAATGAGCTATGATCACTCCACTGTACTCCAGCCTGGATGACAGAGTGAGACTGTCTCTTTAAAAATAAATGAAATAAAATGGAGTAATATTCTGTTTAGAGCATGGATTCTTAACCTCTTTTTATTATAGGTCCCTTTGACAGGCTTGTGAACCATATGAATTCCTTTATAAATTAAAATAAAAATATAGAATAAAACATAAAATAACAATATAAAATATTAGATTACAAAGGAAATCATTGTGGATAAAGAAAATCTGGTACACATACACCTCGGAGTACTATGCAGCCATAAAAAAGAATGAAATCATGTTCTTTAAAGCAACGTGGCTGGAGCTGAAGGCCATCAACCTAAGCAAAATAACTCAAAAACAGAAAATTAAATACTGCACATTCTCACTTATAAGTGGGAGCTAACCAATGGGTACATGTGGACATAAAGATAGAAATAATAGACACTGGGACTCCAAAATAGAGGAGGCTGGGAGTGAAGTGAGGATTGAAAAACTACTTATTGGGCACAACATTCACTATTTGGCTGATGGGTTCACTAGAAGCCAAACCTCATCATTATGCAGTATATCCACGTAACAAACCTGCACATATACCCCTGAATCTAAAATTTAAAAAACAAAGGAAATGATTATATTGAAATGTTGTTATCAAGATCTTAATAAACAAATGTAATACAATAATACAGGCACTTATTTTACTAACTCATTAAATAAGATCTATTGAAAAGCCTAATAACCACTATAATTATGAATAAAGTCGTACATGATTTTTAAAAGTGCTTGCAACAATTGTCATAGGATATGAAAGTGTCCGGAATTTCTGTTGTTGGCAAAGGCACAGGCACTGCTAGGATTAATGTGGTTTGTTTTGTTACCTCTATTCATCAATAAAACAAATGCTAAATTTCAGTTCGAGGTTAGCAAAAATAAAGATGTAGTTTACAAATACCGCATGTTCTCACTCATAAGTGGGAATTAAACCTTGAGTACACATGGAGACATGTGAATTGAGGGTGGAGGCTGGGAGGAGGGAGAGGATTAAAAAAAATCTACTGATCAGGTACTAGGCTTATTACCTGGCTGATGATGTAATCTGTACCCCAAGCCCCCATGACATGCAATTTACCTATATAACAAACCTGCACATGTTCCCTGAACCTAAAATATTTATATTTTCAAATATAAAAGTTTAAAAAATAAAAAAGATGTAGTTTATTTCCAGATTCATCCCCAGCACACTTGGGGAAGGAGCAGGGCATTCTTACTTTCAACCAAGGAGGTCTTGGCAGGAACTGAAATAGAGCTTGCCCATGTTTCTGGAGAACTCTTTCTTCTGGCTGTGGGTTCTGTGGGAGAAGAGACAGGTAACAAGGATGTTGGGGTCTCAGATGGTGTGAAGGTTAACGTCTGTGTTTCAGCTGTTGTTCCCTCTTCTTCTGCAATGGTCTGGCTTGAGGTTAACTCAGGAGGCTCCTCCTGGGACATATTTAGAGTGGATGTTGGAGAAAGTGTCAGAGCTGAAGTCTGAAGATGCACCAATATGTTGGGCTGCCTTGCCATGGAAGGCCCAAGAAATAGTGAAGTCTTTCTGGAGGTGGATGCAGTGGGGGAAAGGAAGCTTGTTTCTTTCTCAGTGGATAGGCTTATGGGAGAGGAACTAGAACCAGACCTTGCTGCTTGACCTGTGCTGAAGAGAGTTGTGAGTTTTGATGCAAGAGAGGTCGATGTCATAGCTGATGATGCCTTGCTTGGGTCTGGATAAGACATGCTCTCTGAGGCATATCTAGGGTCCCCTGTTCCTGAAGTGGGGACTCTGGGTTCATGCCCTGCCATAGAAGGGGAGGCAGATCCCTCAGGGGTTTCAGTAAAACCTGTTGATTGAAATGAGCTTGCACTTATGGCCTTTGTGGAAGTCATCATCCTTGCCCTTGGGTTTTTTTCTGGAGACTTGGACAGTGAGGAAGATGCTGTGCTTGCATCTGAGTCTGGAATGGTGTTCAGGGACTGTCCAGGAGTTGGTAAAGAAGCGGACTTAGTATCCAAACTTGGGACCTCAGAAAACTCAAATGTCAAGGTAGACTGTGGGATCCCCCAAGTTGGGGGAGCTGTAGTCAGTGAGGCAAAGGCCTTTGATGGGCTTGAGGAGGCAGAGACAGGTGTTAGGAGGCCTGACTCAGCACTGGTGGGCTTCACAGGTATCCCTTTGGGTGCTGTTGATTGAGTAGCTGTCAGTCTGTTCGTGGTGATTTCAGACATGGCTGTAACCTCACCTGGGTTCATGGTCAGAGGGAGAGAAGAAAATGTTTTGGTTCCAGTTGAGTGAGTGGACCCACTTCTGATTCCTCCAGAGCTAGCCATACCCTGGCTTCCTGTGGTTAGTGGCATCACAGATGCCCTCTCAAGCCCAGCTGATGAGTCTACCAAAGCCGTTGTCTCTGAGTTTTCAGAACTCTGACTGAATACAAGGGAACCAGTAGTTCCCGCAGGCAAAGTAGAAAGTGCCACTGTGATCGAACCTTCATAGGTTGTATTCCGTGGAGCAACAATCTTAGAGGGGGAAGTGGAAGAAGGATGGAGTGGACTTTCTGTTACTCCTTGGATAGTGATTCCAGGGATGCTCCTATCTGGGTTACTTACTGTCTTAAGAACCAGTGCATCACCATTTGAGGTCTCTGACATGGTCAGGGTAGTCTCTGGGACTGTGCCAAGACTATCCGAAGCTATAGTCACCAGTGGGGTGGAATCAAAGGATGTAGCTAATGAACTTGTTGGCTCAGTGGCAGTGAGAGGGATGGCTGGAGTGTCCGGGAGTAAAGTAGGGAAGGAAGCTCCAGACAGAGTCCCCGTACTTGGAAATTTAGAAGGTGGCGTGGACACAGTTGAAAACAAGATGGTATCTGTGACCAAAATCTTTGAGGTAAGTGTTGTGTCTGAAGTCTCAGTGACTACCAAAAGGCTCTCAGGAGTAGCTGAAGTTTCCCAGTTTGCTCCAGAGGTGGGTGTAGTTGGGGTCTGTGGTGAAGAATGAATGGCTTTGCTTTCACTCGTAGTGAGAAGACTGGCTTCTGATGTAGCACTGGATCCAGTGACCACTGCTGCTGAGAGATGGGGAGTGAAGGCAGTGGCTGGTTCAATAGTTGATGCTAGAAGTGAGTGTGCCTCTCCTGCAGGACTTGTCTTGAGAAAGCCCATGGCAGGTAAGTCAGTAGTACTGCCTACACTGGTCCATGTACCTGGTGCTGGAACAGAAGTCACCACAGAATTGCTAGAGGTAGGATTTTCTCCGGAGGCAGTGTCAGTGCTGACCATGGTGCTGAAAGTTCTTACTGGTCTAGACCAGGCTAATAGGGCCGAGCTTGTCTCGACAGGGTGGGTGATTGTAAAGGGTGGTAAAGTGGATGGAGTGCCACCCACATTGGAGCCCCCATCAAGAGAATAGGTGTTACTGGAAACAGATGGAGAGGTGGCTGTATTTGTCTCTGTTGTAGATGTGGGAACCTGGGGTCTATCTGAAGAGAAGAGAGATGGGGAGGAACTTGCTGTCATTCCTGAGATGCTAGTGGGACTGATGGAGGCTGTTTTAGTGACATCCATAGTTGAAGAAGCTATGGAGGTGTTGATCAGATCAGAAGAAGAACTGCTATCTGAGGGGAGCTCATTTGTTTTCCGTGCGTCAAGGATATCTGAGGTTTTTACTGTAGTTTCATTATCCAGTGAAACTGTGCTGGTCTCTGTGAAACTAGCAGTGAGAACTATGGGGGAAGTGGTTGGAGCAGCAGAGGTGATTGTCCTTCTCTCTCCCAGTGTAATGGAGGGACTGGCTCCTGTGGGCTTTGTAGACATAGCTGAACTCATCCAATCCCCAGGAATAGGTGTCACTCTTGAAGTCAACTCATGAGTGAGAGATGAAATGGTTCTAAATGAATGAGTTGTCTTTTCTGGGAAATGTGAGATAGTTGTCACTTCAGTATCAGGGGAGGGGGAAAAGGAGACAGTGGGAATACTCTCAGCCCCATCTGAAGGTGTGTCAATTACATCTGATGCTACTGTGGACAAGCCAGGTGGACCTGCGCTGTTTACTGGGATGCTTGTTTCTGTATTAGTAGTTGGATGGGACCCCAAAGGGATTGACACTGTCCATGGATCCTTGTTCATTCTAAAGGAAACCAAAGACTCTGAAGTGGGCAGGGATATTGTCCTAGTTAATTTGGTCCCTGCTGAAGAGGCTGTGCCTAAACTCGGGTTAGCAGTACTCTCAGATGTAAGGCCAGAAACATCTGATCTAGAAGTTATGGCCATTGGAAGAGGGACTTCAGAGCTGATACTTGCCCCCACAGGAGTCTCAGAAAGACCTGTGACCGAGGATGCATCAGTGTTCAAAGTACTCGCGGCTGTATTCTGGGGACCATGGGTCTCTGTTTCTGGATTTCTTTGCTTAGCAGCAGATGTGGATGCAGCTGAAAAGAGTGGAAATTCAGTCGTAGTTGAACTTGGGTTTGAAACCCCAGAATGGCCTGAGGACAGTGCCTCAGATAAACTAGTACTTGGCCAAGTTGTAGTGGGGAGAGATGTAGTGAGGTCCCATAGCCAGGAAGTGATTGCATTCCTCCTACTGATTGTGGAATCCAAGGATTCAAGTGAGGCTGAGGAATATGGAGAGGATGTGCTGCTTCCAGAAGAGACTGAATTCTCATGGGTAGGGGAAGCAGACACTGCCACAGAGTTGACATATGGAGTTGACTGTGTCTGCACAGAAACTTTTTCTGAAGAAACTGCATGTAGTGGTTGAGTGGACTGTTCAATTGTGCCTGTACTGGTCCATACAATTGTTGGTGGGGTGATGGGAGAATGTGTCATGGGTGCTGAGTTGATGTCTGGTCCTGAGGTTATGCCTGTAGAAATGACTTCTTCCACTGGAATGGATGAAAAAGGCAATGTTAAGCTTATGGCCCTGTTTCCAGGAGTGGAAGTCAAAGTGGTCTCTGCTCCAGGAGCTGAGGTCTCAGGTCGGGGATGGATTGAAGAAGACACTTCACTCTTCTCTGTGTAAGTCATGGAAGTGTGAGTGCTGTTTCCCATAGACAGGGACTTAGAAGAGGTATCAGAGCCGTTTTCCAATCTGGAGGCTCTAGTGACACCAGTATTCAATGACCTGTCAGTGGCCAAAGTCCCTGCAGAGCTGGTGTGCACCCCATGGCTGAGGTCAAGTGAATCTGTGGTATTGGGGGCATTACTGAGAGTGAGAGAAATCCATGGTGTCACCTCCATTGATGGAGTTGGAGATGGAAGATCCATAGAGGCAGTTCTGAGTTTTTCTTTTCCTGTATTTTCAGTGCTTCCCAAAGCTGTGGACATAAGGGTAGCTGAGCTGGACTCTGTCCTTGCTGAAGACTTGGAGATGTCTGAGGTCATAACTGTGGTGACCTCCTTGGTCCAAAATGTGCTGCCCCCTATGAATTCCACATCAGGAGTTGTAGGAGATGAGGTTAGAGGGATGCTTGTGCTCATCTGGCTTCCTTCAGCATAGCTGGGTTCAAGAGAGGAGGAGAGAGCTGTATTTCCCTGTGTGTTCAGCCTTGGGCTGCTTCCCTTACTAGAATCTGTGACTCCTTCAGTAGTTGACTCAGAAAGGACAGAGGAAACTCTTCCTAATGACTGGCTGATGCTTCTTCCTGGAGCACTAGTAACAAGGAGTCCCATTGTCCCAGCCATAGAGACAGTGGCTGTAGAACTTCTTCTTTCCAGTGCCATGTTTGTGGATGTCTCAGCTGGGGAGGATGTTCCTATGGGAAGGTGGGCTATGCCCAGGGTGACTCCACTACTACTGCTCCCTGTTGTTGTGTTGTCCATGGGTGGAGTGGATTGAATGTTTGTTGGGCCAGTCTCAATCTCTCTGGACAGTGTGTCTGTAGATGGTTTCCAAAAAGTGGTTGCCTCAGAGGAGCTTCTCCCTTGTGTCCCGAGCTCAGGGTAGACTTCAGTAAGATGGGAAGGGGATGCTGAGGCTGGTATAGATGTTTGATCTTTGAGTGACTGTGTCACGTGAGTAGGACTCATCGTTGCAGAAAGGGTGTCCTGTGCTTGTGTTGAGTGTTCAATCACACTGGTCCACGTGGTTGTCAGTGGGGTGATAGGAACAGTTGTTAAGTCCCCAGTTCTGCCCAAACTCCTGATTCCTAGGTGCTGATCCAACGTTGTTGAATCTGTATTTCTAATGGCACTGGTATCTGCCTCTGACTTTGAAAGTTCATGAGAAGGTGTGGACATAGGTGGAAAAATAGCAAATGTACTCATGGGTGAACTTGGACTTGAAATATCAAGGTCTGTTGAAGCCATTTCCTCTGTCAAACTGGTACTCAGCCATGTTGCCATGGGGAGAGTGATTGTGGTCTGCTCACTGGGAGCAAGGACCAGGGGTTCCCCTGGGACATCAGAAGTTAGTTCCAATGTGCTGCTTCCAATGGTAGGGGAGGTAGGGATTACTACAGAGACAGGTCCTGGAGCTGACTGTGTCTCAAATCCAGATGATTTTTCTGCCAATTTTGTGTAATGTAATTGAGTGGAGTGTTCAGTTGTGTCTGTGATGGTCCATGCTTTTGTGGCCGGACTGGTGAGATTGGGTGAACTTGAGATTTTAGGACTTCCAGAGTAAGCAGCTGGGGTGGCGGACTCTGTCTTTGGATGGTTTTCTGTGGTTCTGAGTGTCCTCACTGAGTGGGGTGTAGAGACCTGAGCTGAACTTGTATCCTTAGGATCCGTAGTGGTGATGTAGGTGGTGGGGTCCCAGGTACTACCAGTGTTAGTCTCTCCAGGAGCTGTCATCTCAGGTGAAGACCCAGAAGAGTAAGCCATTCTGGCTGTTGATACATGAATGTGGGTCTCTATTGAGGGGAAGGTGAGAGGTGTGTAAGAGCCAGGTTTTACTACTGAAGCCATGGTAAGTTTGATGGTGCTTGGACTTTCTGAACTAGCGTGTGCTCCGAGGTGGATGCTGGGTGTGTTTGTTGATTCAGGGTAGGTGCTGAGGGTTGGAAGTCCCCCTTCTGATGCCTCCAATGATGTGGCTGGAGATGGAGTGTCCAAGGGAACCAGGGTGCTTTTTCCTATGGCACCACTTGTTGGAATATTACTTGGTGTCAAGGAAGTCGTGGAAGGTAAGTTGGGCATGTTCCACCGACTAGTTTCAACTGTGTCCATTATCATGCTTGTGGTGACTCTCTGAGTTGAAAATGTGGAGCTCATTGTGACTTTGGGAGTAGGAGAAGAAGGAGATGAGGACAAGATGCCAAGCCAGGTGCTTCTAGCAGAGCCAGGATCAGGAGATGGAGGGTGAGTTGCAGTCATTTGTGGAGTCAGAGCTGAGCTTGTTCCATCTCTAGGTATTGTAATTTCTCTGGATGTTAAATGATAGACATCATCAGAAAATGTGTCAACGAATTGGCTTGTCCTTCCTGGAGTGCTTGAGCCAGCAGCATCCATGGACTGAGATGGAGATACTGACATTGAGACACTTTCTTTGGCCATGGTAAAATCCATAGATGTCTCAGAGGAAGCTGTGGTTCCAATGGGCAGATGGCTTGTGTCCAATCTTCCTTCAGTAATGTAGCCCTTTCCAATTGGGATGTTGGTAGAAGCCACAGCCATAGAGCCTGGGCCATTCGTGGTCTCTGTTGTGAGGATGGTTGTTGATGGTTCCCTGATAGAAGTTGCTTCCATGGAACTAGTTGCTGGAGAAGTGAATTTAGAGACCATTACAGTAGCAGAGAGAGAAGTGGCAGAGGTTGAAACAGTGGTTGTTGCTGAAGGTAACCCTGTCTTGAATCTGGGACTAGTCTCTGGCCAAGTTGTGCTTTGGGGTGCAGCAGAGTCATTAAACGTGTCTCTATTGGTCTGTGACATTGTTGCCGTCCCAGTGAGGTGAGATATTTTAGGAAGAGCTGAACCAGTTGAGTTTGTAACTGAGGTACTGCTCGTAGCTCTGAGCTCACTCACTAGGTGGGATGAAGAGAACTGAGCTGAACGTGTAGGCCAGGTGTCCATGGTGGGGAATACTGGGGTAGGGACAGAGGTGCTGGCCAAGGTGGTCCTTACTCTGGAAACAGAAGTCTCAGGTTGAGACACAGATGGATTCGAAGTTTCCTCTGTTTCTTCTCCACTAGTAAATAGATGAGTGGAAGGAGTAGATGAAGAAAATGTGGTTTTGACTCCAGAGACACTTGGGAGGCTGAGAGTGCTAGGACTCTCTGACGATTCTGAAGTCAGTGTCCCAGTTGGGTGGATGTTAGGTGAGTCTGTAGTCTCAGCAGAGGTGCTGAGAGTGAGGACACTCCCTGCTGTCTCTTCCCCTGATGGAGATGGATGAGTCAGAGGGGAAGTTGCATTTCTGACTCTTTCAGGACTTGTTGCTGCATTGCTTAGGGTCATGGAGGAAAGAACGGCTGAGCTGGGCTTTGTCTTTGTTGAGATTTCAGGAGTCCCTGTGGTAATAGATGAGGTGGCTTTGTGGTGTGAGAATGTGCTGGTCGCTGACACTTTATCCTCAAGAACTGAAGCAGATGACAACAGAGGAATGCTGGTGCTTATCTTGGTGTGTCCTGCAGAGTCTGGTTCAGGGGAAGAGAAGGGATGTCTAGTGTTTAATGGAGTCAGTCCCAGGCTGGTTCCTTCCCTGAAAGCTGAGGACTGTAGAGATGATGTCTCAGGGATGACAGAAGAAACCATTGTATATGATGGCTTTGTCCCTCCTGGAGGACTTGAGCCAGCAGCCGTCTTGCTCACTGCTGGAGACACGGAGACTGGGACACCGTTCGTGGCCAGAGTCAAATCTGCGGATGTCTCAGATGATGCTGTGGCTCTGGTGAGTAGGTGGGTTGTGCCCTGGCTTCCCCTGGTGCTGCTGCCTCCTGTCATTGAAATCCCAGTGGGAACAGCAAACTGATGGGTGGTTGGGCCAGCTGTGGATTCTCCGATGAGTGTGTCTGCAGATGTTTCTTCAAGCCAAATCCCTTTTGTGGAGCTGGTCTTCAGGGTGGTGAAGCCAGAGACCACTGAGGGAACAGAAGTGGTGATAGGGGCTGCCACACTGGTTGATGCTGGGGGTCTCTCTGTTTTCATGCTAGGACTTGTCTCCACCCACTGTGTGTGCTGGGGTTCACTAAATTGCTGAGCTGTGCTTTCACTGGTCCATGATGATGCTTTTGAGGTGCTGGAAGTGGTTGCCCTCAGGATGTCAGAGCTCCCGTGGGCAGCTGTGCTGGAACTCTGCCTCCCAGAGGTGCTGCCTGTGGTTCTGAGCTCTCTTGTTGGGTGGGATGAAGAGACCTGAGATGGACTTCTGATCTTGCTGTCAAGAGTTGTAAAACCTAGAGTGGGGACCAAGGTGGCAGTCATTTCGGACTCTTCTCCAGGAGCAGAGGTCTCAAGTGGAGTCATAGATGTATTCAAAGTTCCTTCTGTTTCCTTTCCACTCGTGGAGTGATGGGTGTTGGTCTCCTCTGAGACTAAAGTGGTAGATGGAGATGTGGTTGTCAGCGCTGAAGTGCTGGTGCCACCAAGGGTACCTGGACTTCCCAACCATTCTGAAGCCAAAGTCTTGGCTATGTGGGTGCTGGGTATATCCATGGTCTCAGCGAAGGCATGGAAGGTAAGGATAGTCTCTGCTGTCTGCTTTGTGGATATTGATGGAGTCCCCAGAGAGGAAATTGTGCTTCTGACCCTTTCGGCACTTGTTTCTGCATTGCTTAGTGTCATGGAAAAAGGGATAGCTGAGTTGGGCATTGTGCTGGCTCTGGCCTCGGGCACCCCAGGAGACAGAGGGGAGGTGAGACTCTGGCCTGAGAATATGCTGGTCTCTGATATTTTATTATCGAGAACTGAAGCAGATGATGACAAAGGCGCACTGGTACTTATTCTGCTGTGTCCTGCAGAGCCAGGTTCAGGAGAGGAGAAGGGATATCCAGTGGTTGATAGAATCAGTTCCAGGCTTGTTTCACCTCTGGAATTTGGGGTCCCTTTAGGTGATAGGTCAAGGAAGGAAGAATAAAGTGTCCCAAATGATGGGTTTGTCCTTCCTGGAGTATGTGAGTCAGTAACTGTGGTCTCAGCTGGAGTCATAGACACTGGGGCATTTTCCTTGGATGCAGTTGAATCTGCAAATGTTTTCATTGGAGATGTGATTTTTACAGGAATATATCTTGTGTCCCAGGGGGTCTCTGTGCTGTCACCTTCAGTTGTTGAGGTCTCAGTGGGGACTGTGTACTTCTCAGTGACTGGGCCACTTGTGGTCTCTACAGTGAGTGTGTATGTAGATGCTTCTTTGGTAAAATTTCCTTCTGTGGAACTGGTCCTGGTCCTTGGGGAACTCAATCCTGAAACCATGCTTGTAGCAGGGTAGTTCCTAGAGGGAGTTCCATTGACCTGGGGACTCAGCGATGGGCTGGTTCTTTGCTCGGAGTGTGTCATTCCTCTAGAGGTTGACTCAGGGAGAGCAGAGGACATCACCCCCAAAGACTGGGTGGTTCTTCCCACAACCGAAGATGTAGGACTGGCCAAGGTCTTATCTGGGGAAGTAAAGGGCAGAGTATGTTCTGTCACCACGATTGCACCTGTAGATGTCTTAGGTGACAAGGTGGCTCCTGTCAGTCCTGAATCCATTTCTGGTGTGGCTTTAGTGCTCCTGCTCCCTGTCATCAAGGAGCGGGTGGGAGAAGATGACCCAGGAAGGCCTGAGGGTTTCAGCATGGACAGGTCAACATTTGCCTCTGGATGGAGGTCTAAGAAGAATCCCCTCAGAGAGGGTGGCCTCTGCAGAGCTTCTGAGCTCCCTGAAACTCCAAAATTTCTCAGGGTGGGAGATATGGCTGGGGTCCCCGCATTTGACCTGGGAAAACCTGTGTCTAGAAGAGCTGCCGTATGTATGGAGGTTGGGGGAATTGTGCAACGCTTCTAATTGAGAAGACCAAATCTCAGGGAGAGAAAGGAAAGGATAGTTCAACCACAGACAATTTCCTCAAATAAACACCTGATGATCTCAATTCTTCCCTTCAAACTTTTTAACGGATTCTCAGTGTCTGCAGAATAGAATTTCTTAGTGTATCATGTCTTAATGATCCTCTCTCTCTCTCTCTCTCTGAGTGTGTGAGTGTGTGTGTGTGTGTGTGTGTGTGTGTGTGATGTCTTAGAAACCAGGAACCAGGCTGGGCACGGTGGCTCATGCCTGTAATCCCAGCACTTTGGGAGGTGAGGTGGGAGGATCACCTGAGGTTGGGAGTTTGAGATCAGCCTGACCAACATGGAGAAACCCCGTCTCTACTAAAAATACAAAATTATTTTTAATTTTTTAAAAATAATTTTAAAAAAAATTTTAATAAAAATAAATATTGGGTGTGGTGGCATGTGTCTGTAATCCCAGCTACTTAGGAGGCTGAGGCAGGAGAATCACTTGACCCTAGGAGGCAGATGTTGCAGTAAGCCAAGGTCACACCACTGCACTCCAGCATGGGTAATAAGAGCTCTGTCTCAAAAAGAAAGAGAAAGAAAGAAAAGAAAGGAAGGAAGGAAGGAAGGAAGGAAGGAAGGAAGGAAGGAAGAAAGAAAGAAAGAAAGAAAGAAAGAAAGAAAGAAAGAAAGAAAGAAAGAAAGGAAGGAAGGAAGGAAGGAAGGAAGGAAGGGAGGGAGAGAAAGAGAAAGAAGGAAGGAAGGAAGGAAAAAAAGAAAGAAAGAGAAAGAAAGAGAAAGGAAGGAAGGAGGGAGGGAGGGAAGGAAGAGAGAAAGAAAGAAAGAAGGAAAGAAAGAAAGAGAGAAAGAGAGAGGGAGGGAGGGAGGAAGGGAGGAAGGAAGAAAGAAAAGGAAAGAAAGAGAGGACCGAGGGAGTGAGGAAGGGAGGAAGGGAAAGAAAGAAAAAAAGAAAGAAAGATGCAGATAGAGCCCCTACCTACACCCCCATGAGATGGAGCTAATGCTCAGTGTGTGATACTGGCAGATACTAAGGCTCTTGAATTGAGAAGTGGAGGTCAGAGAAGACACGGCACTTCTGTTCAGATCAGAGCAGGGGCCCACAGATGCACTCTCAGGAATCAGTGGAAGTTGCTCTTGATTAAAATCTCATGACCCTGGCCTGCTGGGCGTGGTGTCTCATGCCTGTAATCCCAGCATTTTGGGAGGCTGAGGTGGGCAGATCACGAGGTCAAGAGATGGAGACCATCCTGGCTAATATGGTGAAACCCCATCTCTACTAAAAATACAAAAAATTAGCTGGGTGTGGTGGCGCCCACCTGTAATCCCAGCTACTCAGGAGGCTGAGGCAGGAGAATCGCTTGAACCCGGGAGGCGGAGGTTGCAGTGAGCCAAGATCACACCACTGCACTTCAGCCTGGGCGACAGAGCCAGAGTCTGTCCCAAGAAAATAATAAATAAATAAATAAAATTTCATGACCCAGAGGGTGAAGAAGATGAGGTTGAATCATGTAAAGGTCTAGCGATGCTGATTTAGGACAGAAGAGGAAAAAAAAAAGAATTTCCTGGCAGCTCACTATCTCTGGCTGTTTTTGTTGAGGGAAAAGTGCAGGGAAGATTTTTCACTTTGGGCATTACTATGATTTGAATGTCCCCTCCAAAACTCTGTTGAAACTTAATCCCCAGTGTGGCAGTATTGAGAGGTGGGGCCTTTAAGAGGTGATTGGGTGATGAGGGCTCTGTCCGTATGAATAGATTAATCCATTCATGACTAACCCATGGATTAGTGGGCTAACATGGGAAGGGACTTGGTGGCTTTAAAAGAAGCTTTAGGCCATGCATGGTGGCTCATGCTTGTAATCCCAGCACTTTGGGAGGCTGAGGTGGGTGGATTACTTGAAGTCAGGAATTCGAGACCAGCCTGGCCAACATGGTGAAACCATGTCTCTACAAAAAAATACAAAAATTAGCCAGACATAGTGGTGCGCACCTGTGGTCCCAGCTACTCAGGAGGCTAAGAGAGGAAAATCACTTGAACCCAGGAGGTGGAGGTTGCAGTGAGCCAAGATCGCAGCACTGCACTCCATCCTGGGTGACAGATTGAGACTCCATCTCAAACAAAAAAAGAAAAGAAAAGCTTTAAAATAGGAAGTGAGACCTGTGCTATCACATTAGCGCACTCAGCTGTCTTGACGTGTGATGCCCTGTCTACCTCTGGATGCCACAGAGTCCCCACCAGCAACAGGGCTCTCACCAGGTGTGCCCCTCTGGATTTCAACTTTCCAGCCTCCATATCTGTAATAGATACATTATTTTTCTTTGTAAATTACCCAGTTTCAGCTGTTCTGCTATAAGCAATGCAATACAGACTAAGATAGGCATGGCTCATGGATTTCTCTCAAGATGAGGCCCACCTTGGTTCTAAGCTGCGTCTCCTAGGAATTGAGTTTTTCCCTAGGCCGGTGGGGTAAGTGAAACTATAATTCATTCCTCATGCTTTCCCAATCTTCTTTTCTACTCAGGAGCTACCAATTTTATCCAGGTCAAAATGATTGAAGAACCACGTCCTTTGCCCACTGTGTAATGTTTCTTTTGTTTGTTTGTTTTGTTTTTTGCTGGTTTTTTAAATTATAAATTCGTTTATTTTTTATTTTTTATTTTTTTTGAGATGGAGTCTCACTCTGTCACCCAGGCTGGAGTGCAGTGGTGCAATCTCGGCTCACTGCAACCTCCACCTTCCGGGTTCAAGCGATTCTTCTGCCTCAGCCCCTGGAGTAGCTGGAATTACAGGCATGTGCCACCATGCCCGGCTAATTTTTGTATTTTTAGTAGAGATTGGCTTTCTCCATGTTGGGCAGGCTGGTCTCGAACTCCCAACCTCAGGTGATCCGCCAAAGTGCTGGGATTACAGGTGTGAGCCACCACACCCGGCACGTTTCTTTTAGATGCTGGATATTAGACCTTTGTCAGATGCAAAGTTTGTAAAGCTTTTCTCCCATTCTGTAGATTGTCTGTTTACTCTGTTGATAGTTTCCTTTACTGTGCGGAAGCTCTTTAGTTTAATTAAGGGCCTATTGGAGGGTGGAGGGTGGGAGGAGGGAGAAGATCAGGAAAAATAACTAATGGATACTAGGCTTAATACCTGGGTGATGAAATAATCTGTAAAACCAACCCCAATGGCAAAAGTTTACCTATATAACAAGCCTGCACATGTACCCCTAAACTTAAAATAAAAGCTAAATTTTAAAAAAGAAAATAAAAGTCTTCTGATCCCAAATAAAACAACTTAGATGCAAAAAAGTGCTATAAGACATATACATTATTAGCTCACTCTTCTTCTGAACTAAGAGTTCCTGCTGGGCGCAGTGGCTCACGCCTGTAATCCCAGCACTTTGGGAGGCCAAAGCGGGCGGATCACCTGAGGTCAGGAGTTCAAGACCAGCCTGGCCAACATGGTTAAACCCCGTCTCTACTAAAAATACAAAAACTAGCTGGGCGTGGTGGCGGGTGGCTGTAATTCCAGCTACTCCGGAGGCTGAGACAGGAGAATCACTTGAACCTGGGAGGCGGAGGTTACAGTGAGCCAAGATCGCACCATTGCACTCCAGCCTGGGAGACAAAGAGCAGAATTCCATCTAAAAAAAAAAAAAAAAAAAAAAATCCTTCCAAGAGAGTCCTGAGGAGAGCAGATTACTTGAGGTCAGGAGTTCAAGACCAGCCTGACCAACATGGTGAAACTCCGTCTCTACCAAAAAATACAAAAATTAGCCGGGGGTGGTGGCAGGCGCCTGTAATCCCAGCTACTCAGGAGGCTGAGACACCAAAATTGCTTAAACTCGGGAGGCAGGGGTTGCAGTCAGCTGAGATTGTGCCACTGCACTCCAGCCTGGGTGACAGAATGAGACTCTGTCTCAAAAAAAAAAAAAAAAATCAGGGGTTATAGGCTGGGCTTCCTGTCCCCCAACTACTCTGGATTAGAATCTCAAAACAAGATAAAGATTAGAATTGCATACTTGTACATGGTCATAAAGCTGGAGGTTAAATAAAAAGTTAGGGAGCCCTGTAGCTGGGGAGCAAACTCCAACACAGGCGTCCCTTGCACTTCCCCTATGGAAAAGATCAAAAATGTTCGTCTTCAAAGAGATTAACAAAGCTCCGGGAGACCATAACAATGTGGAGGAGATGAGATTGGAGCATACCTGCAGGACTGATTGTTGATTTTTCTACCAGAGGGCTGCCTGTTGGCCATACTGAGGTTCCATGTGGGGATGACGAATTCTCCCCAGGCTCGTGAGTTCCTGTGAGGAGAAAAGGATGGAAAGAGCACCTAAGTAAGGAAGCTCAGAACAGGGCATGATGGTTCACACCTGTAATCCCAGCACTTTGGGATGCTGAGCAGTAGGATCACTTGAGGCCAGGGGTTCAAATCCAGCCTGGGCAATATAGAAAGACCCCATCTTTACAAAACAATTTAGAAAATTAACCAGGCGTGGTGGTGCTTGCCTGTAGTTCCAGCTACTCGCGAGGCTGATGTTGGAGGACCACTTGAACCAAAAATTAGCCAGGAGTGGTGGCACGTTCCTGTAATCCCAGCTACTTGGGAGGCTGAGGTAGGATAATTGCTTGAACCCAGAAGGCGGAGGTTGCAGTGAGCCGAGGTCATGCCACTGCACTCCAGCCTGGGCGACAGAGCGAGACTCGGCCTCAAAAAAAAAAAAAGAAAGAAAGAAAGAAAGCATGATTTGTAGACCAAAAAGGAATTGGGGAATTGGGGATGACAGTAGGTGAGGCATTCCAGGTTAAATAATGGCTTTGACCCAAGTAAGACATGAGAACATGATACAATGGGAGTCCTTCTACCATCTTCACAGATTGTTTTGCAAGTAGAGCATCAGCATGGGTGGAAGTAGCTACACCGTCTACATTGCATTGACTCAGGAATGGCACAGGAGACTGTCCTCAATGACTGAATCACTGAGCCAGGAGTAGCTGTGGTCTCAGCTGGGAGAATCCATACTCATGGCTGTATTCATGACTTTAGGAGGCTGCTGTTGTGAATCATCTGGATCCACTATGTGGTGTGGCTGTTGTGGATTTTGCAAATTCTGCTCTGGGTAGACGTGGCCTGGAGGGCAGTGGAGGTGGCTGTTGTCCCCATGGTGATGATTGCTGTTGACATCTACCTTGCAAAGGTCGCCTCAGTGATGCTATTTGTTGGGCAATGCTGGGCTCATTGGTTCCTCTGGTGACGACAGGCTTTCTGGTGCTTTGGGCAGCCAGGCTGTCACTGATGTCACACCTTTGGGATGTTCCTTTGAGTACAGAATGTGCTCTGATCTTTCCCTGTTGCATCGCTCTCTTGTCTACTGGGTCAAAACATTAGCAGAGAAGATGCTACATGCAGGTGTTATGTGGAGTGCCTTGGTCCTCACCACAACCTGGGGAGACAAGTGCTATCCTTCCCATTTTACAGCTGAAGAAACTGAAGTCTAAGGAGGTGAAATGACAAGCCTCAGGTCCCAGAACCAGGAAGTGGCAGAGTTAGGATTTTCTTTAGAGAGTTAACAATATATATATATATTTTTTTTTTTTTTTTGAGACGGAGTCTTGCTCTGTTGCTCAGGCTGAAGTGCAGTGGTGTGATCTCAGCTCACTGCAACCTCTGCCTTTTGGGTTCAAGCAATTCTCCTGCCTCAGCCTCCCGAGTAGCTGGAACTACAGGCATGTGCCACTATGCCTGGCTAATTTTCGTATTTTTAGTAAAGACGGGGTTTCACCATGCTGGCCAGGCTGGTCTCAAACTCCTGACCTCAGGTGATCTGCTGCCTCGGCCTCCTTGGATTACAAGCATGAGCCATTGCACCTGGCCGAGTTAACAGTATTTTCTTTAGAGAGTTAACAATGTTTTTAAAGTAAAGTTAACAATATTTAAACACCATGATATAAAGTTAATATGTTGCTTTAGAGATGGGGTCTTGCTCTGTTGCCCAGACTGGAGTGCAGTGGTACGATCTTAGCTCACTGTAGCCTCGAACTCCTGGGCTCAAGTAATCCTTCTGCCTCAGCCTCTCAAGTAGCTGGGACTACAGGTGGGTGCCACTATGCCCAGAGAATTTTTTTTTAATTTTTAGTAGAGTTGAAGTTTCACTATGTTGTCCAGACTGGTCTCAAACTCCTGGCCTCAAGTGATCCTTCTGCCTCAGCCTCCCAAAGCACTGGGATTACAGGCACTAGCCACCACACACCACACACAGCCAGAGTTAGGATTTATTATTTTATTTTATTTATTTATTTATTTATTTATTTTGACATGGAGTCCTTTTCTGTCGCCCAGGCAGGAGTGCAGTGGCATGATCTCGGCTCACTGCAACCTCCGCCTCCTGGGTTCAAGTAATTCTCTTGCCTCAGCCTCCCAAGTAGCTGGGATTACAGGCACGCACAACCATACCTGGCTAATTGTTTTGTTTTGTTTTGTTTTGTTTTGTTTTGTTTTGTTTTGTTTTGTTTGAGATGGACTCTCACTCTGTCGCCTAGGCTGGAATGCAGTGGCGGGATCTCGGCTCACTGCAAGCTCCACCTCCCGGCTTCACGCCATTCTCCTGCCTCAGCCTCCCAAGTAGCTGGGACTACAGGTGCCTGCCACCACGCCCGGCTATTTTTTTTTTTTTTTTTTTTTTTTTTTTGGTATTTTTAGTAGAGACAGGGTTTCACCGTGTTAGCCAGGGTGGTCTCGATCTCCTGACCTCGTGATCCGCCCGCCTCAGCCTCCCAAAGTGCTGGGATTACAGGCGTGAGCCACTGCGCCCAGCCTAATTTTTGTATTTTTAATAGAGACGGGGTTTCGCCACGTTAGCCAGGCTGGTCTCGAATTCCTGACCTCAGGTGATCCGCCCGCTTCGGCCTCCCAAAGTGCTGGGATTACAGGCCTGGGCCACTGCGCTTGGCCCAGAATTAGAATTTAACCAGTAGTTTTTGTAGATGCTACACCCCGCGAGGAAGACACAAGTGCCCCCTGCTGGCCAATCCTTTTAGTTTATCTTCTTGTATGTATCAGATTTAGTTATTATTTACGTAGCTAAAAGAATCTCGGGTCTATTTGGTTACTTTGGTTACCTAATACTTGACCTATTTGGAAATAGAAAAGGATGTTTCCTGTTTGTTTAGAGGCATTCCAAAGGTTCTACAGACAGTGATATTTCACTACCTAGTCATAGCCTTGTCCATGTCAAGTAGTTCGGGTGCTTTCTTACCTTGGGTCCTCACACATTCTTAGTTCTTAGCTGAATCTTCTATTTTTGAAACAGGGTCTTGCTCTGTCACCCAGGCTGGAGGGCAGAGGTGTGATCGTAGCTCACTGCAGCCCCGATCTCTTGGGCTCAAGCAATCCTCCCGCCTCGGCCTCCTGAGTAGCTGGGACTACAGGCATGCACCACCATGCCTGGCTAATTTTTTCTTTTTTTAATTGTAGAGATGCAGTCTTGTCATGTTGCCTAAAGTGATCTCCAACTCCTGGGCTCAAGCAATCCTCCCTCCTCAGCTTCCCAAAGTGTTGGGATTACGGGTGTCAGCCACCACGCCAGACCTCAGCTAAATCTTTTCTATCTTTGAAAATGCTACAGTACCCGATGTTTCCTAGAATTTAGATGGCAAGCTGTGTCATAGGGACATCTCGTGCAGGAGGGGAAAAGGGTGAAGGCATGACGCATTGCTGAACAAGACTAGTAGTAATACTTAGTTGGCGGGGGGGGCGGGTCTTGAAATTTATGGCCGGGCGTGGTGGCCCACACCTGTAATCCCAGCACTTTGGGGGGCCGAGGTGGGTGGATCACCTGAGGTCAGGAGTTCAAGACCAGCCTGACCAACATGGAGAAACCCCATCTCTACTAAAAATACAAAATTAGCCGGATGTGGTGGCACATGCCTGTAATCCCAGCTACTCTGGAGGCTGAGGCAGGAGAATCGCTTGAACCCGGGAGGTGGAGTTTGCGGTGAGCCGAGATCAAGCCATTGCACTCCAGCCTGGGCAACAAGAGTGAAACTCCGTCTCAAAAAAATAAATAAATAAAAATTAAAAAATAAATTTGGAAAGCCATTCCCAAGGGCATGTAGCCCTAGATGATTTTCCAGGGAGTCTGAAAAGCAATACTTACGAAGACAGTTAGTCAATTTGTAACCTTAGCATTGACTAGGAACAAGTAGAGCTTGAAAGGGCAGCTGAGGCTGGGCGCGGTGGCTCAAGCCTATAATCCCAGCACTTTGGGAGGCCGAGGCGGGCGGATCACGAGGTCAGGAGATCGAGACCACGGTGAAACCCCGTCTTCACTACAAATACAAAAAATTAGCTGGGCGCGGTGGCGGGCGCCTGTAGTCCCAGCTGCTCAGGAGGCTGAGGCAGGAGAATGGCGTGAACTCTGGAGGCAGAGCTTGCAGTGAGCCAAGACTGCGCCACTGCACTCCAGCCTGGGCGACAGAGCGAGACTCAGTCAGTCTCCAAAAAAAAAAAAGAAAAGAAAAGAAACGAAAAGAAAAGAAAAGGGCAGCTGAACCCCTGGAGAGGCAGAGAATGGGGCACTTCTGTCAATCAGCACCACAGTGGTAGATGTCTCTGCCCCAGTTCCTGTGGGTAGGTGGGCTGTGTGTGTATGGAGTCAGGATTGTTGTTCTCTAGTTCGAGGAACTGAATGGGAGATAGGAAGGACTATGCTCCCCATTGCCCCTCCCCAGCCCCCAGCACCCATTATTCTGCTTTCTGTCTTTATGAATGTGATGACTCTAGGAACCTCACATAAGTGGGATCATACAGAATGTGTCCTTTTGTGACTGCCTTATTTCACTTAGCACACTGTCCTCAACGTTCACCCACATTGTAGCATGTGTCACAATGTCCTTCCTTTTTAAGGCTGAATAATATTCCATTGTGGGGGCCAGGAGTGGTGGCTCACGCCTGTAATCCCAGCACTTTGGGAAGCCAAGGCAGGCGGATCACTTGAGGTCAGCAGTTCGATACCAGCCTGGCCAACATGGTGAAAGCCCGTCTCTCCTAAAAATACAAAAATTAGGCTGGGCACGGTGGCTCACGCCTGTAATCCCAGCATTTTGGGAGGCCAATGCCGGCGGATCACCTGAGGTCAGGAGTTCAAGACCAGCCTGGCCAACATGGTGAAACTCTGTCTCTATAAAAATACAAAAATAAGCCGAGCATGGTGGCAGGCACCTGTAACCCCAGCTACTCAGAAGGCTGAGACAGGAGAATTGCTTGAACCCAGGAGGTGGAGATTGCAGTGAGCCAAGATCTCGCCATTGCACCCTAGCCTGGGCAACAGAGCGAGACTCTGTCTCAAAAAAGAAAAAAATACATATATATGTTATATATATATATGCAAAAACTAGCTGGGCGTGGTGGTGCCCTATAATCCCAGCTACTCAGGAGGCTAAGATGGGAGGATTGCTTGAAGCCAGGAGGCGGAGGTTGCAGTGAACTGAGATCACGCCATTGTACTCCAGCCTGGGCGACAGAGTGAGACTCCATCTCAAAAAAAAAAAAAAAGAAAGAAAAAAAAATTCCATTGTGGGGATGGAATATATTTTTTTAATCCATTAATCTGCCAAAGGACATTTGGATGGTTTCTACATTTGGGGCATTGTAAATAATGCTGCTATGAGCACCGGTGTATAAATACCTGCTTGAGTCTCTGTTCTGCTTTCAATTCTTTTCAATATATACCCAGAAGTGGTGTTGCTGGATTATCTGGTAATTCTATTTCTAATTTTTTTTTTAGGAAGCATCATACTCTTTTCCACAGTTGGGGCACCATTTAGACTCCCACCCGCGGTGCACAAGTGTTCTAATTTCTGCACATCCTCAGCCTCATTTGTTATAATATTTTTATGTTTTCCTGTGTTGTTTTGTTTGTTTTTGTAGCAGCCACCTAAACGGATGTGAAGCTTACAGTGCTCACATGGTGAATAATCTCTCCCTCCTTCAGCAGTCACACTTAACTAATTAATGTAAGTTGCATCCTCATAGGATGCACATTAAAACAATTCCAGCTTTCACCAGGGTTAGGAAGAGGGGCTTTGCTTTGTGTCACTGGCACCCACCCTCCTATTTCTGACAACCAAAAATGTCTCCAGATATGACAAATGTCTCCTGGGAGACAAAAATCACATTCAGTTGATAACCACTGTTTGGAGGCAGCATGTAATTTAATTCAGATTTTACAGTTACTCGGTCACATAGGGCGTTTATTCCCAAGACACTGGAGGTTCAGAGAGGTTTCCTTATTTGTCCAGAAAGTAGCAGAGGTGGGATTTGAACCCAAGCTGTCCAATATCAGTGTCTCCTCTGTTAACTGCTCTGTTGTGCTGCTTATAAAGTCATCATCCCAATACAAGGTCGGGCGCAGCGGTTCACGCCTGTAATCCCAGCACTTTGGGAGGCCAAGGCAGGCAGAGTCAGAAGTTCAAGACCACCCTGGACAACATGGTGAAACCCTGTCGCTACTAAAAATACAAAAATTAACCTAGTGCGGTAGTGCACGCCTGTAATCCCAGCTGCTCAAGAGGCTGAGGCAGGAGAATCGCTTGAGCCCGGGAGGCGGAAGTTGCAAGAGAGTCGAGATCGCACCACTGCACTGCAGCCTGGGCGACAGAGCAAGATTCTGTCTCAACAAATAAAGGGAACAGAACTAGACTCCTAGGAAAGGGAGGACCTAACACCCAGAGGCAAGGAGCAGGAGGCAGCAGGAAGAACCTCAGCAGGGCTCCTGCCTTGAACCCCTTCTGCCTGCCTGGGCTGGTTCCCTCCAAGGAGACACCTGGGGAATCATCTCCCAGCAATGGGAAACCTGCCTGTTTATGTGACAGGGTTGGTGGCCACACTCACAGCAGCCCCATCAACGCCATCTGCCTCTAGGACACTGTGGATATGGAGAGAGAAGGTGAGCGGGTAGATGAGAGGGTCAGGGGGAGGATGAGGACCGGGCTGTCTCTCCTGCCTGCTCCTGAGGAAGCCAGTGTTTGTTCATTTTTTTTTTCCCCTCTTTTGAGACAGTTTTGCTCTGCTGCCCAGGCTGCAGTGCAGTGGTTCAATCATGGCTCACTACAGCCTCCAACTTCTAGGCTCAAGCAATCTGTCCGCCTCAGCCTCCCTAGTAGCTGGAAGTATAGGTGCATGCCACCATACCCACCTAATATATATATATATATGTGTGTGTGTATATATATATGTGTGTGTGTGTGTGTGTGTATATATATATATTTTTTTATGGAGATGGGATTTCACCATGGTACCCAGACTAATTTCAAATTCCTGGGATCAAGTGATCCTCATCCCTCAGCTTCCCAAAGTGCTGGGATTACAGGTGTGAGCCACTGTGCTTGGCCTGTTTTTTGTTTTTTGTTTTTGAGACAGGGTCTTTCTCTGTCAACCAGGCTGTAATGCAATGGTGCAATCATAGTTCACTGCACTCTCCAACTTCTGGGCTCAACCAATCCTCCTGACTCAGCCTCCTGAGTAGCTGGGACTACAGGCACTCACCGCCATGCCAGCCTGCCAATATTTGTGAGTAAGGCAGAAGACACAGAGTTTACTTACACAGTCCTCAGATTCAAATCACCTTTCTCTTTTTTTGGGGTGGTGGGGAGACGGAGTCTCACTCTGTCACCCAAGCTGGAGTGCAGTGATGCGATCTTGGCTCACTGCAACCTCCACCTCCTGGGTTCAAACGATTCTCCTGCCTCAGCCTCCTGAGTAGCTGGGATTACAGGCTGGCACCACTACATCTGGCTAGTTTTTGTATTTTTAGTAGAGAACATGGGGTTTCACCATGTTGGCCAGGCTGTTCTTGAACTCCTGACCTCAAGTGATCCACCCGCCTTGGCCTACCAAAGTGCTGGGATTACAAGGTGTGAGCCACTGTGCCCAGCCCAAATCATCTCTTGAAGACTCATTTTCTTTCCTTCCTAAAATCAAGCCAATTGCAATCTTCCCAGAGCAGGAAACAAAATGCACAGTGGGAGGAAAATGAAAGAAGTGGACTCAGTGGGACTCAAGTCCCAATTACTCACTGTGTGATCTGGGGCAAGTCACTTAACCTCTCTGAGCCTTGTCTCCTCATATGCCCAACGGGGATAACAGCAGAGGGCTGTTGAGATGATGCAGTGATGTGATCCACCATGCAGGGTGAAGGAATTAGGACTTAATAAACTCCTGTTACTGTTTTTTTTTGGGGCGGTGGGGCGGTTTTTTGTTGTCATTTTGTTTTTTTATTTTTGTTTTTTGTTTGTTTGTTTTGAGACGGAGTCTTGCACTGTCGCCAAGCTGGAGTGCAATGGCGTGATCTCGGCTCACTGCAACCTCTGCCTCCTGGGTTCAAGCAATTCTCCTGCCTCAGCCTCCCAAGCAGCTGGGACTACAGGTGTGCGCCACTACGCCTGGCTAATTTTTGTATTTTGAGTAGAGATGGGGTTTCACTGTGTTAGCCAGAATGGTCTTGATCTCTTGACCTCGTGATCCGCCTGCCTCAGCCTCCCAAAGTGCTGGGATTACAGGCGTGAGCCACCGCCCAGCCTGTTACTGGTTTTTATTATTTATTATTATTTAATTATTATTATTATTATTATTTATTTTATTATTACCTACCCACGGAGCTGATGAGTGACGCCGGGGAGGAAGGGTCGTGGGTCAACTGCCTGGTGGCTCCAAGTGTTCCTTGGTCTGTGGTTTGGGCAAAGACCACTGCGTCGAAAGGCAGCCCTGTGGAGGAAGAACCAAGTTGGTTATCCCAGCAGGAAGTAGAACGAAAAACATAAAAAAAAAATTTCTTCTGGACTTGCTCTTCTTTCCATAGGAATCTCTGCATAGTGACTCGTTCATTTACCATTTCATTTATTTAATATTTATTCCAGACCCTCAGTCACTCATTCATCCAACCAGCAAATATGTCTTGAGCACCTTTTATACGACAGCTGATTCTGAAACCAACCCGATAGTCTCATAGACAGTATTTATATACCTATTTAAATACTTGAAACTGACATTTGTTATTGTTTAACTATTTTAGGTTTGGGGCTACGTGTGAAGGTTTGTTATATAGGTAATCTCATGTCACGGGGTTTGTTGTACAAATGATTTTATCACCCAGGTATGAAGCCTAGTACCCAATAGTTATTTTTTCTGCTCCTCTCTCTCCTCCTAACGCTTACCATGAAGTAGACCCCAGTGTTTTTTATTCCCTTCTTTGTGTTCATGAGTTATCATCATTTAGCTCCCACTTCTAAGTGAGAACATGCAATATTTGGTTTTCTGTTCCTGGGTTAGTTTGCTAAGGATAATGGCCTCCAGCCCCATCCATGTTCCCGCAAAAGCAATGATCTTGTTCTTTTTTATGGCTGCATAGTATTCCATGGTGTATATGTATCACATTTGCTTTATCCAATCTGTCATTGATGGGCGTTTAGGTTGATTCCATTGTCTTTGCTATTGGGAATAGTGCTGCAATGAACATTCACGTGTATATGTCTTTATGGTAGAATGATTTATATTTCTCTGGGTATATACCCAATAATGAGATTGCTGGGTCAAATGGTAGTTCTACTTTTAGCTCTTTGAGGAATTGCCACACTGCTTTCCACAATAGTTGAACTAATTTACACTCCCACCAACAGTGTATAAATGTTCAATTTTCTCCACAACCTTGCCAGCATCTGTTATTTTTTGACTTTTTAATAATAGCCATTCTGACTATGGTGAGATGCTATCTCATTGTGGTTTTGATTTGCATTTCTTTAATGATCAGTGATAGTGAGCATTTTTTTCATATGCTTCTTGGCTACATGTATCTCTTCTTTCAAAAAGTGTCTGTTTTTTTTGTTTTTTGGTTTTTTTTTTTTGATACAGTGTCTCACTCTGTCGACCAGGCTGGAGTGCAGTAGTGATCGCGCCTCACAGCAACCTCCGCCTCCCAGGTTCAAGTGATTCTCCTGCCTCAGCCTCCTGAGTAGCTGGGATTACAGGCGTGCACCACCGTGCCCGGCTAATTTTTGTATTTTTAGTAGAGACAGGGTTTCACCATGTTGGTCAGGCTGGTCTCGAACTCCTGACATAGTGATCTGCCCGCCTTGGCCTCCCAAAGTGCTGGGATTGCAGTTGTGAGCCACCGTGCCCGGCCTTTGCCCACTTTTTAATGGTGTTGTTTGTTTTTCTCTTGTAAATTTACTTAAGTTCTCTATAGATGCTGGATATTAGACTTTTGTCAGGTGCATAGTTTACAAATATTTTCTCCCATTCTGTGGGAAACTTACATTTGTTTTATCTGAGTTCCTTCCTCATTAAAGGACCCCCAGTCCTCTCAAAAAGTATCAAAGAAAAGAAACTCAGCAGATCATCATATCCAGACAATGAGATGTCAGACCCCTCATTCCTCATGATTGCTTCCTGACCCCTCTTGATTTCCTGTTTTACTACACGTAGTCACATTTCTTCCCTGCTATATAAACCTGTAATTTTAGTTGGTCAGGGAGATGGATTTAAGACTGAGCTCCCATTTTCTCACTGCAGCCAAGGAGATTAAAGTCTTCTTCCTTGGTAATAATCGTTGTCTCAGTGATTGACTTTCTGTGTGGTGAGCAGCAGGACCTAGCCTGGACCCCTGGTGTTTTGGCAACAATTCCAAGTTTGGGGCACAGAGTGAGGAACAAGACAAGTCTTTACTCCCTCAAAAAGTTTATGTCCAGAACAGAAAACCAAATACTGCATGTTCTCACTCATAAGTGGGAGTTGAACAATGAGAACACATGGACACAGGTAGGGGAACATCACACACTGGGGCCTGTTGGGGGTTGGGGGGCTATAGGGGAGGTATAACATTAGGAGAAATACCTAATGTAGATGATGGGTTGATGGGTGCAGCAAACCACCATGGCACATGTATACGTATGTTTGTTAACCTGCACGTTCTGCACATGTACCCCAGAACTTAAAGTATAAAAAAAAAAGTTTACATCCTAGTGGAGAAAGCAGACAACGATTCATCCAACAGATAAATAATTAATGTCCTTGCAGAGAGTGAAGGGAATTTTGAAGTCACTCTACCAATGGGAGAGAAGCATAATTTTCCATAGAGTCATCAGGGAAGACTTCTCATAGGAGGTAATATTTAAGGAGGGCCCTGAGAGATGAGAAGGTACTTATCACAGGGGAAATGTGCTTGTGATGGAGGGAACTATATATGCAAAAGCCCAGAGGCTGGAATAAACCTGACCCACTCGAGAAATTTCAAGAAGGCCAGGGTGGCCAGAGTGCATTGAGAAAGCACTGGAGTGCTTTCTGGCTGGAGTGTAAGGCGAAACCAGCTGGGTAAGCAGAGGTCAGATCTAATGAGGAGAAAGAGGAGGAAGGGTTGTAAACCAGTGATGTATGAAGTTTAGATTTTCTTGGAAGTGCAATGGAAAGTCACGGAGGATTTGAAGCAACGGGTGAGGGTTGTGACCAGGTTAGCATTATTAAGAGATAATTCTGCCAGAAAGCAAGGAAGTGCTCAAAGACTAAGGAGATGATGTTACAAGGACAAAGAAGAGGCTATAAAGTCCTCAAGATTGGCCAGGCACCGTGGCTGATGCCTGTAATCCCAGCATTTTGGGAGGCTAAGGTGGGTGGATCACGTGAGGTCAGAAGTTCCAGACCAGCCTGGCCAACGTGAAACCCCATCTCCATAAAAATACAAAAATTAGCTGGGTAATCCCAGCTACTTGGGAGGCTGAGGCAGAAGAATCACTTGAACCTGGGAGGCAGAGGTTGCAGTGAGCCGAGATCATGCCACTGCACTCCAGCCTGGGTGAGAGAGCCAGGCTCCATCTCAAAAATGGATGAATAAATAAGCAAATAAAGTCCTCAAGATCAGAGGCTATGACTTCAAACTATACTACAAGGCTATAGTAACCAAAACAGCATGGTACTGGTACAAAAATAGACATATAGACCAATAGAACACAATAGAGAGCCCAGAAATAATGCCACATACCTACAACCATCTGATCTTCAACAAAACTGACAAAAACAAGCAATGGGGAAAGGACTCCCTATTCAATAAGTGGTGCTGAGATAACTGGGCTACCCATATGTAGAAGAGAGAAAAAAAAAAACAAAAAAGGAAAAAGACCATGGGATGTAAAAATGTGAATGACTGAAATTTTGGGGAAACTTTTATTGGATGTGTATTTTCATACCTACAGCCCTCACCAAGAAAATACACACAAACACACACACACACGGTCCTACTGAATGGCACTAAATTATCCACATACTCCTGATAGATTATTTCACTCCCTACAAACTTCTGAGATGGAAGAAGCCAGCTTCCTAGGGCTCCAGGGAGGAGAGGAATTTATGATAAGATAGAGCAATCCCAGTTTCTTAGACTAACTAGCCAAACCCCTGTCAACCTAAATAGCAAACAGAGACAGACTCTCTAAAGGAAAATATGTTCATTTGGGAATAGAACATTGCAGTGGGAATATGCATGCCACTGTAATATACGTGCCTATTCAGGAAGACAAAGCTTTTTAGAGGAAAAATTGAGGAGAATTGCATAATAGTTTTGAAATATTTGTCCTTGGCTACAAAGATCGATAACAAGGATAACACCTTTTCTGTAGAGACAGCGTCTTGGAAGGCTGGGCACGGTGGCTCATGCCTTAATCCCAGCACTTTGGGAGGCTGAGGCGGGCAGATCACAAGGTCAGAGTTTGAGACCAGCCTGGCCAATATGGTGAAACACTGTCTCTACTGAAAACACAAAAATTAGCCAGGCATGGTGGCGGGAGCCTGTAGTCCCAGCTATTCAGGAGGCTGAGGCAGGAGAACCACTTGAACCCGGGAGGTGGAGGTTACAGTGAGCTGAGATCATGCCACTGTACTCCAGCCTGGGTGACAGAGCAAGACTCCATTTCAAAAAAAAAAAAAAGAGAGAGAGAGCAGGCTGGGTGCGGTGGCTCAGGCCTGTAATCCCAGCACTTTGGGAGGCTGAGGCGGATGGATCACGAGATCAGGAGTTCAAGACCAGCCTGGCCAACATGGGGAAACCCCATCTCTACTAAAAATACAAAAAATTAGCCGGGTGTGGTGGTGCGTGTCTGTAATCCCAGCTACTCGGGAGGCTGAGGCAGGAGAATGGCGGTGAACCCAGGAGGCGGAGGTTGCTGTGAGCGGAGATCACGCCATTGCACTCCAGTTCCAGACTGGGCAACAGAGCAAGACTCCATCTCAAGGAAAAAAAAAAAGACAGACAGCGTCTTGGGTTCAAGGGATCCTCCTGCCTCAGCCTCCCACACTGCTGGGATTACAGGTGTGAGCCACCGTGCCCGGCCTGCAGGAGTATTTTTTGCGTAAGGTTGAGGTGGCCTTTGTGCAAGGTTGTGGCTTTTGGAATCTTTTGTGATAGTTGTTATCAGGCATACCAGCATGAGAACCCTCCTTTCATGGCCCTCCGTGACTCTATTTGCCCCCTTCATTCATGCAACACATATTTATTGCACAACTACTATGTGCCAGGTACTGCAACAGGCTGCATTTGGCAATGTCTGAAGACATTTTTGGTTGGTGGGAGTGCTGCTGCCATCCCGTTGTAGGGAACCTGGGATACTGTTTAGCACTTGACCAATATATGGGACAGCCCACCCTACCTCCCCAAAGGATTATGAGACCCAAATCCATTGACATTTGTGCTGGGATTGAGAAACCTCGCTTCAGTGGGATTGGTCCAGGTTGTAGCATACAGGGTTGTTGCCATGGAGACAGGCAGATAACGAACCTGTTCAGTGGGTTGAGAGCAGCATCCAAAATAAATAAATAAATAAGAGAATATAATAGAATTAAAAGGCATCAGGGGCTGGGCACGGTGGCTCACGCCTGTAATCCCAACAGTTTGGGACGCTGAGGTGGGTGGATTACCTGAGGTCAGGAGTTTAAGACCAGCCTGGCCAACATGGTGAAACCCCATTTCTACTAAAAATACAAAAAATTAGCCAGGCATGGTGGTGGGCACCGGTAATCCCAGCTACTCGGGAGGCTGAGGCAGGAGAATTGCTTGAACCCAGGAGGCAGAGGTTACAGTGAGCCGAGATCGCGCCATTGCGCTCCAGCCTGGGCAACAAGAGTGAAACATCTTCTCAAAAAAAAAAAAAAAGAAAAGAAAAAAGAAAAAAGTATTTTCATCATGCATCTATAAGCAAAACTGGTCACAATGGTAGGATGGTACTGGTACACTGGTACACAATACATTGCACACTGGTACACAATGTGCAATGTATTTCTTACCATGGATCCCAGTCTAAAAAGACTATTAGACTTTTTAGCTAATAGCTAATAATTAATGTTAGCTCCTGCATCAGCTCATCGTCTGATAGGCAGCACCTGCCTTCCTCCCTACCTCATCTCTTTGCCTCGTTCTCTCAATACTGGGAGTCACTGAGAAAGAGGATGTCTCAGATCACAGGGGAGCTGGGTCAGAATCACTAGGGTCTTACAGACCCAGTCTGCCCAGGGTCAAAGCCCAGCCCTACCACATAGCAGCTATGTGCCCTTGGACAGGTTGCATAACTAACTGCGCCTTGGTTTCCTTTTCTGCAAAATGGAAATGATAATAGGACGTACCTCCTATTGTCCTCCAAGTTGTTATGAGGATTTAATGAATTCATATCTGTAAAGAGCTTAAAAGAGTGCCTGGTACATGTTAGTGTTCCCTGTTAGCTATTATCATTATCATGACTTGCTCTAGAATAGCACTTACCCCAGAGTGTAATTCTTTTTATTATTAGGGGAAGGGGGCAATGTGGGTTCAGAGTCACTGAGAGGGGGTGGATCAGAGCCAGGATAAGGATGAGAAGCCCGGCTCAGATTCACTGTGTGTTGGGGACAGGGTTGGCAGAGCTGCAAGTGCTAGGACAAGTGCACCAAAACAGGTCTGACAAAGGGTTAAATGAAGCAGATGGGATTGTTCAGGGTGGGATGAAAGGTCCAGGGAGGGTGGGGACAATCAGGCAGGCTGCCTCCCTGCACCGCAGTGTTTGTTTCCTTGACAGGTGGGAGGCCCAGCTCCACTCAGGTATGTGGCCAGACCAGCCAGGGCAGCCCCCTGGACCTCTCATCCCAGGCAGAGATGAGGAGAGGGACAGGGTGGGGCCCTCCAGCCCAGGATGGCCCCGGCCCACCTCCTCTCTCCCACCCAGGAAGGGCTGAGCCACTTTGGACAATGGGCTGAGTCCCCTGGCCCCATTCAGCCCCACTGGCCTGGCCTGTCCCCACAGGGACTGCTGGAGGTCCTTGGGGGGATGTTGGCACCAACTGCTCCTTTGTCTTGCTACTTACCCTAGAAAGAACAAGCTAAGGGCTCTCCTCCCCAACTGAGGAAAGCAGGATATTTTGCCACGAGCGGCAAAGGAGGACCCCTGCTGCCCCAGAGGAAGAGGAGGGAAAACATATTTACCCACACATGCACACACACAAACACTCATGCACACTCTCTCACACTTATGCACACACAAAAACTCATTTGCATGCATGCACACACACTCTTACACACGGACACACATGCACGAATACAAACACTCATGCACACACTTAAACTTATGTACATACTCACACAGTCTCACACATGTGCAGACTCAGTCACTCATGCACACGCTAATACACACACAAATGCACATACATATGTATGCAAAATACATATGCACACACACACAGCTACACACTCACATGTAAGCATTCAAACACACCCACACATGGACACACATGCTGAAAAACAAGCACACCCTCATTCATGCACACCCACACACCTATGCACACATGCATACACACATGCACACACATATTCACACTCGCACACATATTCACACATGCTTATGCACACACGCTCAGTCACACCTGTGCACACTCAGACACTCATCGCACACACTTGTAGACACATAGGTGGATGCACACACAAGTATGCACGCAAGCACTAAGTTGCACACTCACACATGGACACGTGCACACACTTATGCACATTCACTCTAACACACACATGCTCATGCAGACACACACAAGGCACACACAGACACATAATCACACACTTATCCACACGCATACTCACTGGGCAGGAACTCAAGTCCTAGAGTTCTGGGTTTCATCCTGGTTCTGCCCCAACTCGCTTCACTGAGCCCCAGTTTCCCTACAGTTAAAGCAGAAATAGCAGCATACACCTCCCCAGGCATTGCAACAAGGTCAACCTGAGATGAGCTAGTCGTGAATCTGTAACAAGAACCCCACCCCTCAAGTCTTAGCTTCTCAGTGAGGGCCTTTCCTTGAACCCACTTTATTGGAAAGAGCAATGTGCCCCCACAACACACTCCAGCACCCCCGAGTCTCCATCCTGTTTCTTTTCTCCTTATTCCCTTCTTTTCTGGAGTGCAATGGCTCAATCTTGGCTCACTGAAACCTCCATCTCCCATGTTCAAGCGATTCTCCTGCCTCAGCCTCCCGAGCAGCTGGGATTACAGGCATGCGCCACCACACCCTGCTGATTTTGTATTTTTAGTAGAGATGGGGTTTCTCCATGTTGGTCAGGCTGGTCTCAAACTCCCAACCTCAGGGGATTCACCCGCCTCAGCCTCCCAAAGTGCTGGGATTACAGGTGTGAGCCACTGCACCCGGCCCCCTTATTCCCTTCTTAACAATGCATCACGTACTTACTCTGGTTTTGGTTTAAGGTCATCCCCCTTTGCTGAAAGTGTCAGCTCAGCAGGGATCTTTTGATTTGCTCACAGCCATCCCCTCATTGCCTAGAACAGTGCCTGCACACAGTAGGTGCTCAATAAATACTCATTGAACAAATTGAATGAATGAATCTCTTCAAAAGTATTGACTAAAGAGGTAAAGGGCCCTTCTTGATAGAGTAAAACTGCAAAGAGGACCCTTCCTTGATATCAGTGTGCAAAATCTCACATCAAGGGACCTCCCCTCCACAAAAAAAGAATAATAAAGAGTCCTTCTTTTCCAGGTTGAGAAAGGAGGGGATGTCTCCTCTCCTGGGAAGAGTGACGACATCTCTAGAAGCCAGGCATGAAAGAAGAGAATGAAAACTCCATCCGGTGTGGATTGAGGCAGAGACCCTACTCACTTCCTGTGGTTCCTCAAAAAATTAAAAATAGAACTATGAGCCGGGCACGGTGGCTTACACCTGTAATCCCAGCACTTTGGGAGGCCGAGGCGGGCGGATCACTTGAGGTCAGGAGATTGAGACCAGCCTGGCCAACATGGTGAAACTCCCCGTCTCTACTAAAAGTAGAAAAATTAGCCAGGCATGGTGGCAGGTGCCTGTAATCCCCGCTACTCAGGAGGCTGAGGCAGGAGAATCACTTGAACCCGGGAGGTGGAGGTTGCAGTGAGCTGAGATCACTCCACTGCACTGCAGTCTGGGCAACAGAGGAAGACTCCGTCACAAAAAACAAAAAAAGAAACAAAAAAAAAAAACCTGTGAGCTGAGCATGGTGATTGATGCCTGTAGTCCCAGTGACTTGACAGGCTGAGGCAGGAGGATGGCTTGAGCCCAGGAATTGGAGGCTGCAGTGAGCTATGATTGTGCCACTGCACTCCAGCCTGGGTGACAGAGCAAGATCTTGTCTCTAAAATAAATAAATAAATAAAAGTAGAACTACCATATGATCCAGCAATCCCACTTCTTGGAACATATACTGTGAAAGGAAAATAAATCTCGAGACCCCAAAATCACAAAGCCAAAGGGAAAAGTCAGGTTGAGAACTACATCAGGCAAACCAGCCTCCCATTTCATTCCCAAATAAGATAGCTACCAAATTGTTTGTTTGTTTGTTTGTTTGTTTGTTTTAGACGGGGTCTCCCTCTGTCGCCCAGGCTGGAGTGCAGTGGCTCAGTCTCGGCTCACTGCAACCTCCACCTCCCAGGTTCAAGTGATTCTCCTGCCTCAGCCTCCTGAGTAGCTGGGATTACAGGCGCGCACCACCACGCCTGGCTAATTTTTTTTGTTTTTAGTAGAGATGGGGTTTCAGCATGCTGGTCAGGCTGGTCTCGAACTCCTGACCTCGTGATCTGCCTGCCTTGGCCTCCCAAAGTGCTGGGATTACAGGCGTGAGCCACCGCACCCGGCCAATAGCTACCAAGATTTAAAAAGCAACATACCTCCCTCAAAATTTGCCCACAAGGAAATTCTTTGTGGGACTCAAGATATTTACCCTAAAACAGTTCTGTTGAATTTCACCTTGGCAATGTAAATGGACAGCTTATCTTTACAGATGCGGGACAGAAAGTCATCCCTCCGCTCGCCTGAGAGAAATGCATATCTGATTGCTTCCTCTGCCCTATTGTTCATGTAAAAATGCAGATTTATGGACCCAGACTAAGGTTTAAGTGACTATTCCTCTACCTCCCTCTCACGTGTAAACTGTGTATTCAGTGAAAGGCTAATCAAAGACTCAAAAGTAGCCGGGTGCAGTGGCTCACGCCTGTAATCCCAGCACTTTGGGAGGCTGAGGTGCGCGGATCACAAGATCAGGAGATCGAGACCATCCTGGCTAACACGGTGAAACCCCGTCTCTAGTAAAAATACAAAAAATTAGCCAGGCGTGGTGGCGGGTGCCTGTAGTCCCAGCTACTCAGGAGGCTGAGGCAGGAGAATGGCATGAGCCCTGGAGGCGGAGCTTGCAGTGAGCCGAGATCGCACCACTGCACTCCAACCTGGGCGACAGAGCGAGACTTAATCTCAAAAAAAAAAAAAAAAAAAAAAAAAAAGACTGAAAAGTATGCAACCATTTGTCTCTTACCTACCTATAACCTGGAAACCGGCCCCCTCCCCACCCCCCCGCCCACGCCGCTGCCACTTCAAGTTGCCCTGCCTTTCCAGACCAAGCCATTGTATCTTACACATCTTGATTGATGTCTCATGTCTCCCTAAAGTGTATAAAAACAAGCTGCACCCTGACCACCTTCGGCAAATGTCATCAGGACCTCCTAAGGCTGTCACAGGCGTGTTCTCAACCTTGGCAAAATAAACTTTCTAAATGGATGGAGACCTATCTCAAATACTTTGAGTTCACAATCCAAACAAAATCAAATCAGTATCTCCAAGAGACATCTGCACCCCCCACGTTCATTGTAGCATTATTCAGAGTAGCCAAGATATGGAAACAATTTAAGTGTCCACCAATGGATGAACAGACAAAAAAATTGTGGTTTATCTACAGTGGAATATTATTCGGTCTTTAAAAAGAAAGACATTCTGCCATATATGACATCATGGATGAATTGGAGGACATTATGCGAAGTGAAATAAGCCAGTCACAAAAAGACAATTACTGCATGATCTCACTCACGTGTGGAATCTAAAAAAGTCAACCTCGTGGACAGGTGCGGTGCCTCATGCCTGTAATCCCAGCACTCTGGGAGGCTGAGGCAGGCAGATCACCTGAGGTCAGGAGTTCGAGACCAGCCTGACCAACACAGTGAAACCCTATCTCTACTAAAAATACAAAATTAGCCAGGCATGGTGGTGCACGCCTGTAACCCCAGCTACTTGGAAGGCTGAGGCAGGGAAATCGCTTGAACCCGGGAGGCGGAGGTTGCAGTTAGCCAAGATCATGCCATTGCACTCCAGCCTGGGCAACAAGAGTGAAAATCCATCTCAAAAAAAAAAAAAAAGGAAAGAAAGAAAAAATGCTAAAAGAGTTGGTCTTAAATGTTCTCACAATCTCACTATTGCCCCTGCGCCGGCACTAACTGAGACTCAAACTCCTCGTTGTCGTATTTGTCGGAATAGTAAATTTGTTTGTGGGACATGACCGCTCCATCTGCGAGCCTTCAGCCCCAAGCTGCCAACCTCCAAGCAACTCCCAGCAGCAGGCAGGTATAAAGTTTTAGTTATGCAGGATGAACAAGTTCTGGAGACCTAATGTACAGCATGGTGACTATAGGTAGTAACACTGTATTATATACTTGAAATATGGTAAAAGAAGGCTGGGAGCAGTGGCTCACGACTGTAATCCCAGTACTTTGGGAGGCCAAGGCAAGCAGATCACCTGAAGTCAGGAGTTCAAGACCAGCCTGACCAACATGGGGAAACCCCGTCTCTACTAAAAATACAAAATTAGCCTGTAATCCCAGCTACTCAGGAGGCTGAGGCAGGATAATTGCTTGAACCCAGGAGGCAGAGGTTGCAGTGAGCCGAGATTGCACCACTGCACTCCAGCCTGGGCAACAAGAGTTGCTCCATCTCAAAGAAAAAAGAAAGAAAGAAAGAAACATGCTAAAAAGAGTTTATCTTAAATGTTCTCACAACATAAAAAAAGGTAATCATGTGAGGTGATGATGGGTATGTTAATTAGCTTGATTGTGGTAATCATTTCACAAGATGTACATATATCAAAGCAGTGTATTGTACATGTTGTATATGTATATGGTGGGATTGCTGGATCATATGGTAGTTCTACTTTTATATAAATACATGCAATATTTATTTTTCGAGTATAACTCAATACAGTGGGGGGTGGGGGGGAAGTAGTCTATTACCTTGTTAATTCATTCATTCATTCATGTAACAAATATGTCTTGTACACTTACTATGTGCCAGGTACTGGAACAGGCTGAAGAGAGGAAGTGTCAGGAAGGAAATCCGTATAGGAGAGCATCTGGGATGGAAGAGTGACCCTCATGTCCTGGTCTACCCAGGGCTTTCTTAGTTTTACTAAAGTCCCTCATCGAAGGAACTGCCTCAGGCTCAAGCAAACTGGGATATCCTACTGGTCATCCTACTGCGATCTGTGTCCTCCTGACCTGGCATTTGTCCCTGCGGCTCTGGGACTGTGATCAGTTTAGGTCCCTGGGCACAGCTCTGAGCTGCAGGAGTGAGGAGCTTTTGGGAGCACCTCCAAGGTGGAGAAGAAGAGGCTGGTACCTGGATTAGAAGTCGGGCCTGGATAATGGCAGGAAGATCAAGAGAATGGGTTCAGTTCTACCCTGGCTACCTGGGGGTCTTCTCTTTGAGCTTTTTTTTTTTTTTTTTTTTTCCTGAGACAAGGTCTCACTCTGTTGCCCAGGCTGGAGTGCAGTGGTGCGATCTCAGCTCACAGCAGCCTCTGCCTCCAGGGTTCAAGCGATTCTCGTGCCTCAGCCTCCCGAGTAGCTGAGGCTACAGGCGTGTGTCACCATGCCTGACTAATTTTTGTATTTTTTGGTAGAGACAGGGTTTCACCCTGTAGGCCAGGCTGGTCTCGAACTCCTGACCTCAGGTGATCCACCTACCTCGGCCTCCCAAAGTGCTGGGATTACAGGCGTGAGCCACCGCACCCAGCCCTTCCTCTTTGAGCTTCTGTTCTCTCATCTATAAAACGGGGATGGTCATCTGGACCACTGAATCTACAATCAGCATGAGTGCATGCTTGGATAATCTGCTATGTCTGGCCTTCTGGCCCTTGAGGCTCCAGAGAGGTAGGAAGAGTCTCCTTCACTTGCTCAATCCACCCTGGGAGAACCAAGTGACCAGACGAATCCACTGAGCATAAAGAATGCCCAGGCCGGCCGGGCACCATGGCTCAGGCCTGTACTCCCAGCATTTTGGGAGGCTGAGGCAGGCCGATCACTTGAGGCCAGGAGTTCAAGACCAGCCTGGCCAACATGTTGAAACCCCATCTTTACTAAAAACACAAAAATTACCTGGGTGTGGTGGCACACGCCTGTAATCCCAGCTACTAGGGAGGCTGAGGCAGCAGAATCACTTGAACCCGGGAGGCGGAGGCTGCAGTGAGCCGAGATCACGCCACTACACTTCAGCCTGGGCGACAGAGTAAGACACCGTCTCACAACACACACACACATACACACACACACACACACAGAGAGAGAGAGAGAGAGAGAGAGAGAGAGAGAGAGAGAGAGAGAGAGAGAGAGTACACCCAGCCAGGCCTGCCCCTCTTGGACCCATTGTCTTCCTTTGCTACCCAGCAACTGGGAAGAAAGGTAACTCTCTCTCCAGGATTGGAGGAAACAGTAAGCAAACCTTTCTGCTTTTTGGTGAACCAAAAGTGGTGAAAGATAAACTGTAACTCTGGCAAGGGCAGGTTAGACCAGGAACCCACCTCACAGTTCCACCCATGCCCACTACACACACCCACTCCCACCAATGCCCCCTTCCCTTCATAATCCAACTCCCTTAACTTCATATCCCCCTGGCCAGGCCTGGGCTGGGACAATGACCACTGTTCAGGGACCCAGGAAGGGGCTCAGCAGCGCACAATGAGATCTGCCTATGTTCTGTGTCTTCACAGCCCTTCTCCTGGGACGGGCAGTACAGAACTCATTTCCTCGGCGGTGTGGGGGGACTCACGTACCCAGAAACTGCCAGGAGAGGAGAAATCCTCAACCTTCAGTCTCTTCCCAGGCAAAGGATAAAAACCAGCATTTAGGAATCATCCAGAAACTGGAGTTGGAATCCTGGCCGTGTGACTTTAAACAAAAGGCTTAAGCTCTCTGAGCCTGTTTTCTCTTCTGCAAAATGGGGGATAACGGTGCCCCTGTGTTCACCCGTCAGGCAGGTTCAACGGAGACAACACATGTAAAGTGCAGGAACATATTACATAGAAGGTGGATCCTATAAAATGATGGTGGGCCGGGCGCAGTGCCTCACGCCTGTAATCCCAGTACTTTGAGAGGCTGAGGCGGGTGGATCACCTGAGGTCAGGAGTTCAAAACCAGCCTGACCAACATGGTGAAACCCCCATCTCTACTAAAAATAGAAAAAAAAAATTAGCTGGGCATGGTGGCAGGCACCTGTAATCTCTGCAACTCAGGAGGCTGAGACAGGAGAATTGCTTGAACTGGGGAGGCAGAGGTTGCAGTGAGCCAAGATTGCGCCACTGTACTCCAGACTGGGCGACAGAGTGGGACTCTGTCTCAAATAAATAAATAAAATAAAATGATGGTCACAGAGGTCCTTTGGGCTCTTGGAGTTTCTCAGCCACAGGGTGGAGGGAGAGGCAACTGGGAGATGGATTTCTCCAGCTCTGGAATTCTTCTAAAAATTGCTCTTTGGGGAGATGGAAATTCAGAGAGGTTAGATGTCTGGCTCAAGGACTCACAGCTTGCCAGCAGTGGGCTCAGATTTACGGCCAGGGATTAAGAGAGTCTTCTCCAGTGTTTTATGTCAAAAATCCCGCATGGTGTCTGGACTGACTCCAGGGGAATCCCTTGGGAAGGGACTGATGTGGCCAGAGGGGTGATGGGGATGGGGAGGGGTGTCAGCCCAAAGCCCAGTCCTCCCTGAAACAGGAGCAGGGTCTGCCCAATGCAAACAGCCCCCGGCATCAGACCCTGAGTGAACCTTGGGGACAAATGCAGTAAACAGCCTCTGTTGGTGGTGACCTGCTTTGAGTACAGGTCAGGGGGACACGCCCCACTGGAGGTGGTGGGGTTGTCCTATACAAACCCGCCCACCATTCAGGCCATTGTGTGGAGGCCTCACAATGGTGTCCAACCACAAAGCTCTCCCTCCGTCCCCGACTGCCCGGCCTCGGTGACTCAGGGCTGGGGGACTGGGGTGCCTTCCTCACCTGCTTCTCAGGCTAGATCCGGGGCCCGAGTAGGGAAGGGCATGGGGGCAGGTGAATCACAGTCTGTCTGCATCCAGGGCACCCCCCCTCCCCGGATGGAGGAGGTGGATGGGCCTCCCCCAACCCCAACCCCTTGAGGCCCCTCGTGGCCTCCGTTTCCAGGCCAAGCTGTGAGAAACAGTCCTTCCTCCTCCTCTGAGTAAATGAACAGACATCTGAGCACCCAGCTCATTATAGATCTCCTCTTCTGCAAGCCTCAGTTCATCTTGCACACGAGGGCTGTTTGGTGAAAAAGCCCCAACTTCCTGCCCTCGGAGGCAACCGGAGTAAAATAAGTTCTGGGTGGGTTTGGGCAGTCCTGGGTTCAGGTATGAACAATCTTGAAACTTCCCTGTAGGGAAGAGAGGCTGGCTCCCTTAAGCCCGCAACAACACACAGAAACACCAAGCTGGATGCCAGCCCTTCCCTGAGCCCAGGGTCTTTTCTCTGGGCAGTAATGTCCAGGCTAATCTCCTAAAATGACCAACAGTTCTTGAAAGACCCCTTTGGACCCAGGAACATGCCTCCCACAGCCCTCCCACGCTGCGTTTCTGCTTCCAGTCCTTCCCTCGGTATCTCCCCATCACGCAGCCCAGATACATGCAGCTCACAGGAAAGGACCCAGATACGCCTGATGGCTCCCTGCCTCCTAGTCCATGCCTACTCCGTCCCCGCTGCCGGGAACGCCCTTCTCTTTTGCTCCTAAGTGTGCCTGTAAAATTCCAACCCTGTGCAATTCAGATGCCACCCTGCAGTTTAAGACCCCTGCCCCCACCGCCACCACCCTTACCCCATCAATGCCTCTTAGCAAAGTTCCTGCTCAGCCCTGTACCCCGACTGACTGGACGCCCCAGTCTCTCTCGCCCACCAGATCGGAGCTCCTGGAACCCTGCGGCGGCGACTTGCTCATTTCTGTCCCTGAGAGCTGGGCACAGATACTGGGACTGGAGGTGCCGCTAAAACCCCCTCAGGGAGTGAGTGTGTGAGTGAGTCGGTGATGGAAGGAATCCTTGGGTGTTTCCACACTCATCTCGGCAGATACTCAATTCACAATACAGCGGTTTTGTGAACTCGCCCACGTCAGTCTGGTAAATGCAGATTCATTGGGTCGGGCTGGAGGAGGCATTTACAGAAAAGCAAAAGCAAAAGCAAAAGACCTCCTGGCTGTCCCTGCTGGGGCTTAGGAAGCACAAATCACCTGTCATACCAGCCTCTCTCCTATATGAATCCGTCCAGCTCCTCAGTGAGCCCCAGCCCAGTCCCACTTACCTGGCCAGCAGGTGAGGAGGAGGCTCACGGCCAGCGCTAGCAGGGGCCTGCGTCGGTGCCCTGGGTGTGCAGGGCCCTCCCGGCCCATCCTACTGCCTGCCCAGGCTGTGCTCCTCACCCCCCGAGAGAGTCCCTGAGACTGAACCCAGCCCAGTCTGGCCCCGGCTGCAGGGAGGGTGGTGAGGACACACCTTGCTGAGCTTCTCAAGAGGGGCAGGGCTTGCCCTAGAGGGAAGCAGTGGGTGCCTTCCTGGCAAAGGTCAGCTGGCATGATTCAGTGCACTCAGTGACTGACACCTGCAGGCTGATACCTTCCGAGAGCAGCGGCCCGAGGGAGCCCCCACCGCGGACAGAGCCTGACTCCAGAGTCTGTTGCCAAACTGGGGGTCCCTCTGGGCTTGAAGGAAAACAGGGACCCAGGCATAGACCTGTCCCGTTCTCCAAAGTCCCCAGGTTCTACCTGACCCCCTCCTGCGCAGGGACTGGCACCGCCAGACTGGAGCTGGGTGGACCCTCCTTGGGGGAGGCACAGCTGCCTCTGGAGGGTTTTGGAATGTTCAGGAGTGTACGCGAGGCTGCATTCCCACATAGGAACTCCCTGGCTGCCAGGGGAGCTGAGGGCCGGCCTTCTCGTACCCTTCCAAAGCCCCACAGAGCCACACCCGCTATACTCCTGCCGCGCTCTGAGTCCTACAAAACCACCTCGGGGCTGCAGTCCCTCACTCCCCGGTCAAGCTCTTCAGCTGCCCTTGACAGCAGCAGAGAGGCAAGGAAGGGGCTGGTGTGGGGTACAGGGAGGGGATTGGGGGTTCTTCCTCCTCCTCACCAGCCCTGCAATCTCCACCAGCTTCTTCTCACCCCAGGCCTGGGTGATGACAATAGTCATTTCAGAAGTAGGCTCTTCCCCCTCAAATCGGCCCAGCACAGATTGCAGGGTGATGTTTTTTAAGTACCATGCCCCTCAAGACACCCCCCTGCTGTCCCCCTTTGTCCAGGCACTCAAGAGACCCCCCACCCCTCTAGCCTCTAACAGTCAGAGGAAGTGGGTTTATCATCACCCATATCACCCATCTTTTTTTTTTTTTTTTTTTGAGATAGAGTCTCGCTCTGTCACCCAGGCTGGAGTGCAATGACGTGATCTCGGCTCACTGCAACCGCCACCTCCCGGGTTCAAGAGATTCTCCTGCCTCAGTCTCCCGAGTAGCTGGGATTATAGGTGTGCGCCACCACGCCCAGCTAATTTTTGTGTTTTTAGTAGAGATGGGTTTTTGCCATGTTGGCCAGTCTGGTTTCGAACTCCTAACCTTAAGATCCACCCACCTCGGCCTCCCAAAGCTCTGGGATTACAGGCATGAGCCACCGTGCCCGGCCTGTCATCACCCATCTTCAAGATAAGGAGACACCTGCAGGTGCCCAGTGTGAAGGAGGCAGGCAGTGGATTTGGACCTCAGCGTGCCAGACACCCCCACAGGGCCAACCACTTCTCCTGGGTCTTGTACCTGGAGCCAAACTCCATGGCCCTGTGGCTGGGCTCATGGCCCAGGGAAGTCTGTCAGCAACCCCTGGGGGCTTATGCTCTGTTCAATTTCCTATTAACCGTTTCTCTTCTCTCCTTGCTCTGTAGCCCTTCCTCTCAGCATAGACATACCTTGAGCCCCAGGAAACACCCTGGGCAGGCAATCTGGCCAAAACAGATAAATGAACAAGTACAGGTGATCAAGCTGGAAATGAGAGGTAGGTGGGAGATGCCAAACCCAGACTGGGAGGGGGCAGGGAATCAGGGAAGTCTTCCTGGAGGAGGTGGCACGTGCATCAAGATGGAAAGATAGGCTGGAGTCCTCCAGACCAGGGGAGATGGAGAGAAGGGAAGGGAAGGGAGTTTCCCAAGGAGGAGACAGTGGCTGGAAGCAACAGAAAGGAAAGCTGGAAGGGGAAAGTTGAGCCTAAGTTTTGTCCAAACTCCCACCCTAGTTCTCTCTCAAGGTACCCGTCCCTCACTTAAGAAAAATCATCGCAGAGAAACAGAAGGCAAGCCAGTGAGTTTTCTGGGCAATCACTGTATTCAATTTCGCCTACCTCAGAGATGGGAAAACTGGGCCCCTAAAAAGAGTATCACCTGTAATCCCAGCACTTTGTGAGGCAGAGGCGGGTGGATTACCTGAGGTCAGGAGTTCGAGACCAGCCTGGTCAACATGATGAAACCCCGTCTCCACTAAAAATACAAAATTAGCTGGGCATGGTGGTGCACGCCTGCGATCCCAGCTACTTGGGAGGCTGAGGCAGGAGAATTGCTTGAACCCAGGAGGTGGAGGTTGCAGTGAGCGGAGATCGTGCCATTGCACTCCAGCCTGGGAGACAATAGCAAAACTCCATTTCAAAAAAAAAAAAAAAAAACACAGAGCACCAGAATCTGCAAGATCAGCGACAGAACTGGAAACAGGCCCCAGGACTCTGGAGTCCACAACCAGTGCTCTTCCCGAGTAAGCAGTGCAAATCCTCTTTCTCTAGCACACAGCAGCAAGTATCCCTAAGCACCATAGTACATCATGCCTTAGGTCCAGGGGTCGCCCATTCTTATAAGGAGTGCATCTGGGAAAATGGGTTTAGATTCCAGATAGGTCATTAGAGCTCCTGGTTTTTGTTTTGTTTTGTTTTGTTTGTTTTGGTTTTTGTTTCATTTTGTTTTGTTTTTTGGGGATGGAGTCTCGCTCTGTCACCCAGGCTAAAGTGCAATGGCATGATCTCGGCTCACTGCAACCTCCACCTCCCGGGTTCAAGCGATTCTCCTGCCTCAGCCTCCCAAGTAGCTAGGATTACAGGCATGCATCACCATGCCTGGCTAATTTTGTATTTTTTTTTTTAGTAGAGACAGGCTTTCACCATGTTGGCCAGGCTGGTCTTGAACTCCTGACCTCAAGTGATCCACCCACCTCGGCCTCCCAAAGTGCTGGGATTACCAGCATGAGCCACTGTGCCTGGCCCTGTTATCCTAAATGAATAACCCAGGGACAGAAAATCACGTTCTCACTTATAAGTGTGAGGTAAACAACGGATATGTATGGATGTGAAGATGGGAACAAGAGACACTGGAGGGTACTACAGGTGGGAGGCAGGAGGCGGGGCTAGGGCTGAAAACCCACCTATTGAGTACTATGCATAGTATCTGGGAGACAGGTGCATTCGTACCCCAAACCTCAGCGTCATAGAATATACCCATGTAACAAACCTGAACATAATTTGTACCTCCTGAATCTAAAATAAAAGTGGAAATTATAAATAAATAAATAAATAAATGTTTTTAAAGTATGTTTTAAAAAATTAGGCCGGGTGCAATGGCTCACGCCTATAATCACAGCACTTTGGGAGGCCAAGGCAAGTGGATTGCTTGAGGCCAGGAGCTCGAGACCAGCCTGGCCATCAGGGTGAAACCTCATCTCTACTAAAAATGCAAAAAAATTAGCCAGGCATGGTGGTGCACGCCTGTAATCCCAGCTACTCAGGAGGCTGAGGCAGAAGAATCACTTGAACCTAGGAGGGGGAGGTTGCAGTGAGCGAGATCCAGCCTGGGCAACAGAGTAAGACTCTCTCTCAAAAAAAATAAAATAAAATAGCCTCTGACTGTTGGTGGTAATGTAAATTAGTTCAGCCCCTATGGAAAACAGTATGAAGATTTCCCAAAGAATGAAACATAGAACTACCATTCAACCCAGCAATCCCACTACTGCTCAAAGGGAAAAAAATCTGCCCAAAGGAAAAGAAATTGTCTTATCTAAAATACACTTGCACCTGTATGTTTATTGCAGTACTATACACAAAAGCAAAGTTGTGGAATAAGTGTCCATCAGTGGATGAATGAATAAAGTAAATGTGGTAAGTATACGCCATGGAATACTATACACCCATAAAAAAGAATGAAATCATGTCCTTTGCAGCAACATGGTGGAGATGGAGGTCATTATCCTAAGTGAAATAACTCAGAAACAGGATGTAAAATACCATGTGTTCTCACTTAAAAGTGGGAGCTAAACAATGAGTATACATGGACACAAAGATGGAAATAATAGGCACTGGGAACTCCAAAAAAAGGGAGGGTAGGAGGAAGAGTGAGGGTTGAAAAATTACCTATTGGCCGGGTGCGGTGGCTCATGCCTGTAATCCCAGTACTTTGGGAGGCCAAGGCAGGTGGATCACCTGAAGTCAGGAGTTCGATACCAGCCTGGCCAACATGGTGAAACCCCATCTCTACTAAAACTACTAAAATTAGCCAGGCATGGTGGCGCATTCCTGTAGTCGCAGAACTCGGGAGACTGACGCAGGAGAATCGCTTGAACCCGGGAGACGGAGGTTGCAGTGAGCCGAGATCACACCATTGCACTCCAGCCTGGGCAACAAGAGCAAAACTCTGTCTCAAAAAAATTTTTTTAAAAATTAAAAAAAAACTTGGATGATGAAATAATTTGTACAACACACCCCCGTGACATGAGTTCACCTTTGTAACAAACCTTCCCATGTACCCTTGAACCTAAAAGTTTTTTAAAAAAGGAACTGGGGGAGAAGTGTACAGATTTCTGGGTGCTCTCTTCTCAAAGGTCTGCCTGCCCCTTGTGGGAAAATGGAGAGGACCACAGCAGAATCAAAGACGAAGCAAGGCAACCTCTGTCTCCTGCTATCCCCAGACTGACCCGGCCTGAGCCAGCTTTGCTTATGTGATAACATCGCTAGGGGCAAAGAAGAGACGTCAGGGCTGGGTGGTGCTGGCCGAGTGAGACAGAGGGCTGAGGGACGCTGCTGAGTAGAGAAAAGGGAGAGAGATAAGTGGCGGAGACAGAGGAGGCAGGGTCAGAGAGCAGGAGGAGAAACCCACAGTTATCACTAAACAGCAAGGTGCAGTGGGGTTTGTTTGTCTGAGCTTTTTTTTTTTTCTTTTTTTGAGACGGAGCCTTGCTCTGTCACCCAGGCTGGAGTGCAGTGGTGTCATCTCGGCTCACTGCAACCTCTGCCTCCTGGGTTCAAGCGATTCTCCTGCCTCAGCCTCCCGAGTAGCTGGGGTTACAGGCACCTGCCACCATGTCCGGCTCACTTTTGTATTTTTGGTAGAGACGGGGTTTCCCCATGTTGGCCAGGCTGGTCTCGAACTCCCGTCCTCAAGTGATCCACCTGCCTCAGCCTCCCAAAGTGTTGGGATTACAGGCGTGAGCCACCGCACCCGGCCAGGGAGTGGATTTCAATGGCACGGGAGAGTCTCCCAGGGCAAACATCATGGAAAAGGTGGAACTAGAGGAAACTCAGAAAAGCTGTTGGCATTTCTTAATAAGATGGGGGTTTCCACGTAGGAGAACAGACCAGCCTGGATTGTCAGGCTTAGAAGTCACAGGGGACACTGGGCATGGTGGCTTATGCCTGTAATCCCAGCACCTTGGGAAGCCGAGCCTAGAGGATTGCTTGAGCCCAAGAGTTTGAGACCAGCCTGGGCAACATAATGAGACTCCATATCTACAAAAAATAAAATACAAAAATTAGCCAGGCATGGTGGTGCTCACCTGTAGTCTCAGCTACTCAGGAGCCTGAGGTGGCAGGATGGCCTGAGCCTGGGAGGTGGAGACTGCAGTGAGCCAAGATCACACCTCTGCACTCCATCCAGCCTGGGTGACAGAGTGAGACCTTGTCTCAAAAAAAAAAAAAAAAAAAAAAAAAGCCAGGCATGGTGGCTCATGCCTGTAATCCCAGCACTTTGGGAGGCCGAGATGGGAGGATTGCTTGAGGCAAGGAGTTCGAGACCAGTCTGGGCAATATAGTGAGACCCCATCTCTCTAAAAAAAAAAAAAAAAAAATCACAAGGGAATGACAGGGGAGCTGGAGGTAGTCTAGGTTCAAATCCCCACAGTAGAAGAAATGAACATGACCCTAAAAGTGTTTACCGAGAACTTAGTGTTTCCCAGGCATCCATCCGCGAAACCAGAAGAAAGGACACTGACATTAAATCACAGCATCCACAAATGACGTGAGTTCAATATTTTCTCTGAGCCACGCCCTTCCCAGAAGTGAATGGCTCTTCATTCTCGAGGTTTCTCTGTGAAGTGGTGCGTTTCATTGACCCATTTTACAGTGGTGGAAACTGAGGCACAAAGAAATTACATAACTCACACAAGATTGCACAGCTGGGCCCTGTATGTTTCCATTTGCAATGTGTTCAAGGACAGGCAAGAGGAATTGAGGGGAAAGAAGCCAAAAGAGTGTTCTGAGGTGGAGCGTGATGTCTCATGCCTGTAATCCCAGCACTTTGGAAGGCTAAGGCGGGCAGATCACGAGGTCAGGAGTTCGACACCAGCCTGGCCAACATAGTGAAACCCCATCCCTACTAAAAATACAAAAAAAAAAAAAATTAGCTGGGCATGATGGCGTGCACCTGTAATCCCAGCTACTCAGGAGGCTGAGGCAGGAGAATTGCTCGAACCCGGGAGGCGGAGGCTGCAGTGAGCCAAGATTGCACCATTGCACTCCAGCCTGGGAAACAGTGCAAGACTCCACCTCAAAAAAAAAAAAAAAAAAAAAAAAGGGTGTTCTGAGGATGGGGGCACTGTCTGTCTGGAAAAGGGGTTTGAAGGAGCTTTCTACAGCAGTGGTTTTCTTTTCTTTTTTTTTTTTGCGACGGAGTCTCACTCTGTCGCTCAGGCTGGAGGCAGTGGCGTGATCGCAGCTCACTGCAAGCTCTGCCTCCCGGGTTCAAGTGATTCTCCTGCCTCAGCCTCCCCAGTAGCTGGGACTACTGGCGCCTGCCACCACACCTGGCTAATTTTTTGTATTTTTAGTAGAGACAGGGTTTCACCGTGTTAGCCAGGATGGTCTTGATGTCCTGACCTCGTGATCTGCCCGCCTCGGCCTCCCAAAGTCCTGGGATTACAGGCGTAAGCCACCGCACCCGGCCAGCAGTGGTTTTCAAGTGAGGGCAATTGTGCCTCCCAGCTGCCATTTGGCAACGTCTAAAGATGTTGTTTTAACTGAGAGAGAAGGGGTGCTACTGGTGTCTAATAGGTGGAGGCCAGAGATGCTGCTAAACATCCTACAACACACAGGACAGCCCCTTACAACAAAGTATTACCCAGCTTCTAATGTCAAAAGCGCCAAGGCTGAGAAATCCTGTTCTAGAAAAAATGGGCCGCAGGTGGCTTATGTCTGTAATCCCAGGACTTTGGGAGGCTGAGGCAAGAGGATCACTTGAGCTCAGGAGTTCGAGACCAGCCTGGGCAACATAGTGAGATGGCCCCACTAAAAATAATAAAAAAAAAAATTAGCCAGGAGTGGTGGTGCACATCTGTCGTGCCAGCTACCCTGGAGGCTGAGACATGAGGACTGCTTGAGCCCAGGAGGTTGAGGCTGAAGTAAGCCATGACTGCCTCGCTGTACTCCAGCCTGGGTGCTAGTATGAGACTCCGTTTCAAAAAATAAAATTAAAATTAAAAAAAATAATAGAGGAAGGGAACATTTTACATCGTGGTGTGCAATGGTTACACATATGTAAAAATTCATTGACACGCACTTAAGATTCAGGCATTTTGTGCACACTTTACTTGTGTCTGTTACATTGCAACAAAAAGTTGTTTTTTTTTTTTTTTTGAGACGAAGTCTTGCTCTGTCACCCAGGCTGGAGTGCAGTGGGCCAATCTCGGCTCACTGCAACCTCTGCCTCCCAGGTTTAAGTGATTCTCCTGTCTCAACCTCCTGAGTAGCTGGGATTACAAGCGTGCGCCACTATGCCTGGCTAGTGTGTGTGTGTGTGTGTGTGTGTGTGTGTGTGTGTGTGTGTTTAGTAGAGATGGGGTTTCACCACGTTGGCCAGGCTGGTCTTGAACTCCTGACCTTAAGTGATCCACCCGACTCAGCCTCCCAGAGTGCTGGGATTACAGGCGTGAGCCACAGTGCTCGACCCCTTCTAAGTAATGACTCGGCCCACTGCCTCACCTCTGTTCATGCCCTCATCCTCTCTCTCTGCCTGCCTTCCCGAAATAGCTTCTTTACTCATATTCATCTTCTACCACCAGCTCCACCCTCCTCCAGTTCCCCTCCGCCCGCCCAGCCAACAGAGTGACCTTTCAAAAATGCAACACCGGCCATGCCCCGCCCCGGTCCGAATTCTTCAGTGCCTTCTCACCGCCCTCGGGACCAAGTCCAAACGCTGCAGCCTGGCGTTGAAGGCCCACCTTGAGCCGGGACCCGGCCTGCATTGGACTAACGTATGACTTCGCTTCTCACCCCGAAGCCTTTGCCTCGGCCGTTCCCTGTGCCGGAATTACCCTCCTTCCCTTTACCTGATTCTGTGTCCCCTAATTCTCTCCAGGCCTCCCCTACCTCCCTCCCCAGACAGAAAGCAGAGCTCCCCGCCCTGTTCCCAAAGCACCTTGTAACTTCCTTGTAAAATCGTTTGACCACAGGATCGCGTATCTGTGTTTTCATCTCTTATAACTCTCTCTAGTGTGTGAATATGAAGAGGGTACCTGACTATGATAGGTGTGTCACACAGACAAAAAAAAAAAAGTTTGTTGAATGATTTATTCATATATTGACCATTCACCAGGGACCAAGCGCTGGGGATAAAGAGAAGGAACAAGGCCGGGCGCAGTGGCTCACGCCTGTAATCCCAACACTTTGGACGGCCAAGGGGAGCAGATCACCTGAGGTCAGCAGATCGAGACCAGCCTGGCCAGCATGGTGAAACCCCGTCTCTACTAAAGACACAAAAAATTAGCCGGGCGTGGTGGCGCATGCCTGTAATCCCAGCTACTTGGGAGGCTGAGGCAGGAGAATCACTTGAACCTGGAAGGCAGAGGTTGCAGTGAGCCGAGATCGGCCCACTGCACTCCAGACTGGGTGACAGAGCAAGGATCTCAAAAAAAAAAAAAAGAGAAGAGAAGAACAAGGCCGGGTGTGGCGGCTCATGCTTGTAATCCCAACCCTTTGGGAGGTTGAGACTGGAGGATTGCTTGAGCCTGGGAGGAGTTCAAGACCAGCGTGGGCAACATAGTGAGACCCCGTTTCTACAAAAAAAAATTTTTTTTTTAATTAGGTGGGCCGGGCATAGCAGCATGGAGCCCGGCCGCCGCAGCACCTCTGCTCCGCGATCCGTGGGCATCCTCTTCACTGTGTCCATTGGATGTTTGCCTCCCAGACTGAGGGGGAGCTCAGAATGACCCAAATTCTCAAAACAAGTTTCCTCACCGGGCGCGGTGGCTCACGCCTGTAATTCCAGCACTTTGGGAGGCGAAGTCGGGTGAATCACGAGGTCAGGAGTTCAAGACCAGCCTGGCCAACATGGTGAAACCCCGTCTTTACTAAAAATACAAAAATTAGCCAGGCATGGTGGCGGGCACCTGTAATCCCAGCTACTCGGGAGGGTGAGACAGAATCGCTTGAGCTTGGGAGGCAGAGGTTGCAGTGAGCCGAGATGGTGCCACTGCACTCCAGCCTGGGTGACAGAGTGAGACAACGTCAAAAAAAAAAAAAAAAAGGAAAAAAAGAAAAAAGAAAAGTTTCCTCGAGCTACAGCTATCAAAGTCACTGACATTTCAAGAGGTTGTGGGGTCATGTATGAAATTAAAATTGAATCAGAAGAAGTTAAGGAGGAGAGAACTATTCAGCAGCACCAAATAGTGAATCAGTCACTACAAGAAGAAATCAAAGTGATGCATGGATTGCGGATATTTACCTCTGTCCCCAAACGCTCAGCACACCCTGGCTGCATAGATGCTGCTGCTTAAGACCTTGGATGAACTTGACTGACACCATTCTTCCCTAGGCATTTACCAAAAAATTTGTATATTTTGCTCGTATACATTTCCATATTATAATTATAGAAGATGTGTAATCTATTTAGATGTTAATTAAAGGAAACAACGAAAAAAAAATTAGCCAGGTTTTGTGGTGTGTGCCTGTAGTCCCAGCTACTCGGAAGGCTGAGGTGGGAGGATTGCTTGAGTCCAGGAAATGAAGGTTGCAGTGATCCGAGATCGCACCACTGCACGCCAGCCTGGGCAACAGAGCAAGACCTTGTCTCAAAGGAAAAAAAGAGAAAAGGAGAGAGAGAGAGAGGAGAACAAGATTCAGGAGGCTGATGCTAGAGGATCTCTTTGAGGCCAGGAGTTCAAGACCAGACTGGGTAGCATCGTGAGACCCCATCTCTAAACAAATAAAAAACTTAGCCAGGTGTGGTGGCACCAGCCTGAAGTCCTAGCTATTTGGGAGGCTGAGACAGGAGAATTATTTGAGCCCAGGAGTTCAAGACCAGCCTGGGCAACATAGTGAGATCCTGTCTCTACAAAATAAAAAAATAAAAAATTTAGACAGGCACAGTGTTACCTGTAGTCCCAGCTACTTGAGAGGCTGAGAAAGGAGGATCGCTTGTGCCCAGGAGTTGGAAGCTGCAGTGAGCTATGATCACACCACTGCACTCCAGCCTGGGTGACAGGGCGAGACCCCATCTCTTAAAACAAAACAAACAAAAAAAGAGAGATGAACAAAGCAGATGCCTTGTATTTTCTGTACCCCTTTGTTTTGTTTTCATTTTTGTTTTGAGATGGAGTCTCGCTCCGTCACCCAGGCTGGAGTGCAGTGGTGCGATTGCAGCTCACTGCAACCTCCAGCTCCTGGGTTCAAGCTATTCTCCTGCCTCAGCCTCACTCCACTTCCCAGGTATGACAACCAGAATGTCTCCAGATATTGCCAACTGTCCCCTGGGGGCAAAATCTCTCCTAATTGAGAACCACTGATTGATGTCAATACCAAAGAGTCTTTTTTTTTTTTTTTTTTTGAGACAGGGTCTCACTCTGCCCTCCAAGCTACAGTGCAGTGGCATGATCTCGGCTCACTGCAACCTCCGCCTCCCGGGTTCAAGCAATTCTCCTGCCTCAGCCTCCTGAGTAGCTGGGATTACAGGCACCCGCCACCATGCCCAGGTAATTTTTTGTGTGTTTAGTAGAGACAGGGTTTCACCATGTTGGCCAGGCTGGTCTCAAACTCCTGACCTCAGGTGGTCTGCCCTCTTCGGCCTCCCAAAGTGCTGGGATTACAAGCATGAGCCGCTGTGCCCGGCCAAAAGAGTCTAGACTAAAGAAAAGTCCGGTTATCAAGAAGAGACATGACTTCAAGTATAGTCCGGTGGCTAAAAGCTATGGCTCTCAGAACAGTTTATTGAGCACTTAAGATGTGTGGATTTTCGTGAGTATAAATTATACCTCCATATAAAGGGAAAAATAGAGGAGGATAGTATTCTATATCTTTCTGTGGTGATGCTGATGTTCTATATCTTAGTAGGGATTTGGGTTAGACAGATGTTTGCATTTGTCCAAACTTAGCCAACGTACACTTGAGGTCTGTGCATTTAATTGAGTATAAACTTGACCTCAAAAGATAAAATTCTATACGTGAATACTGACCTCTAGTTAATGCTCTGCGTGAAGAACTTTTTGTTTACTTTTATATTTATTTATTTATTTACTTTTAGAGACAAGGTCTTGCTATGTTGCCCAGTCTGTGGCGTGCAGTGGCACAATCATAGTTCACTGCACCCTTGACCTCCTGGGCTCAAGCAATCCTCCCATCTCAGCCTCCTAAGTAGCTGGGACTACAAGCATGCACTACCACGCCCAGCTAATTTTTTACTTTTTTGTAGAAATAAGGTCTCGCTCCATTGCCCAGCCTAATCTGGAACTACTCTCCTCCTGCTTCACCGCCGCCGCCTCTTCCTCCTCCTCCTTCTCCTTCTTCTCCTTCTTCTTCTCCTTCTCCTCTTCCTTCTTTTCTTTCTTCTTTCTTTCTCTTTCTTTCTTCTTTCTTTCTTTCTGTCTCTCTCTTTCTTTTTCTTTCTTTCTTTCTCTCTTTCTCTTTCTGAAACCTCTTCCTCTTCTTCCTTCTTCCTTCCTTCCTCGTCCTCCTCCTTCTTCTTTCTTCTTTTGTGAGACAGGGTCTCACTCTGTCACCCGGGCTCTGAGTGCAGTGACACAATCATAGTTCACTGCATCCTTGACCTCCTGGGCTCAAGTGATCCTCCCACCTTGACCCCCACCCAAAGTGCTGGGATTACAGGCATGAGCCACTGCACCTGGCCTGCAAAATTATTTCTATGTTTGAATTTTTTATGATAAGATTTTGGGGGAAATCCCTTGCATTTTTGCATGTTACTGCATACAAATTCTAATTTCACCTTCAAAAGGGGGAAAATAAGAGTATACATGGCTTTGAAGTCAGATTCACCTGAGTTCAAATCCCCAAAGGGCTTCACTTCTCACATGGCTATGCCCTTCCTTCTTCTGACCTGCTTTCTGTCCCATCAACCTGGGCTAATGATTTATTGAGGTGGGGTTTTAAGCACAAGCTAGGGAACCAGACACACTGGGTTTAAATCAAAGACCATTATTCTAAGTGAATTAATGCAAAACAGAAGACCAAATACCACGTGTTTTCACCTCTAAGGAGCTAAACACTGAGTACACACAGACATAAAGATGGGAATGATAGGCCGGGCGCAGTGGCTCACACCTGTAATCCCAGCACTTTGGGAGGCCAAGGCCAGTGGATCACAAAGTCAGGAGTTTGAGACCAGCCTGGCCAACATGGTGAAACACCGTCTCTACTAAAAATACAAAACTTAGCTGGTTGTGGTGGCGGGTGCCTGTAATCCCAGCTACTCAGGAGGCTGAGGCAGGAGAATTGCTTGAACTCGGGAGGTGGAGCTTGCAGTGAGCCGAGATCGCACACTGCACTCCAGCCTGGGCGACAGAGGAGACTCCGTCTCAAAAAAAAAAAAGAAAAGAAAGAAAAAAAAATGACAACTCCACCAGTTCCCAGGTGTGCCGTCTTGGGCAGTGACTTCAGTGTTTTGTGCATTTGAAATGGGTAATGACAGCACCTACTTTGCAGCATTGCTGTGAGGCTGAAATGAGGACTCCCGGTGCCCTTCCAGCAAAGCTGGTGAAGTGGCATCAAGCATGTTTATCTGTGAGAGGGTGCGAGACACCTGCAGTCACCCTGGGGGAGACTTTGAGAGACTTCAGAAAAGCAGGAGTGGGGCAGGGCCAAGGAAATATTTTCTTGCAATTATTTGCAATTACTAAATCTGTTTGCTTTTATCCTCCCCAGGCAATGGAACCTGAAAAACAGAGGTTTCAAAGGCACATCTGGGCTGGCACGGTGGCTCATGCCTGTAATCCCAGCACTTTGGAGAGCCGAGGTGGGAGGATCAGTAGAACCCAGAAGTTTGAGACCAGCCTGGGCAACATAGCAAGACCCCCATCTCTACAGAAAGTTAAAAAATTAGCCGGGCGGCCGGGTGCGGTGGCTCACACCTGTAATTTCAGCACTTTGGGAGGCCAAGGTGGATGGATCACAAGGTCAGGAGTTCGAGACCAGCCTGGCCAACATGGCAAAACCCTGTCTCTACTAAAAATACAAAAATTAGCTGAGTGTGGTGGTATGCACCTGTAAACCCAGCTTCTCGGGAGGCTGAGGCAGGAGAATCACTTGAACCCAGGAGGTGGAAGTTGCAGTGAGCCAAGATCATGCCACTGCATTCCAGCCTGGGCGACAGAGTGAGACTCTGTCTCAAAGAAAAAAAAAAAATTAGCCAAGCATGTTGGTGCACACCTGTACTATCAGCTACTCATGAGGCTGAGGTGGGAAGATTGTTTGAGCCTAAGAGTTCAAGGCTGCAGTGAGCCATTACCATGCCTCACTTCAGCCCGGGTGACGGGGCAAGATCTTGTCCAAAAATAATTTTTCTTTTTAAAAAGCACACCTGCTCTTTCCTGATTGTAAATCTTAAAAGCAGGATTAAGATGCCCGCCAGGACTTGCTGTGGGGTCTCCAGCCCTCAGCTCAATCCCCTATTATACTTATTAAGTCCATCTCTCCATATTTACTGAATTATGTAAAGGGTAGAGGCAAAGATAATTATGGTCTCAAGTATGGGTGACTCTGAAGCCAGAAGCCCCATGGTTTGAATTGTGTCCCCCTGAAAAATAGACGTTGATGTCCTAATGCCCAGTACCTCTCAGAATGTGACCTTATTTAGAAATATTGGAAACGAGGCTACCAGGGTGGGCTCTAATCCAATAGGACTGGTGTCCCCTTAAAAAGGGGAAATTTGAGGCCGGGTGTGGTGGCTCCCGCCTGTAATCCCAGCACTTTAGGAGGCCGAGGTGGGTGGATCACGAGGTCAGGAGTTAGAGACCAGCCTGGCCAACATGGTGAAACCCCATATCTACTAAAAATACAAAAATTAGCCAGGCGTGGTGGTACGTGCCTATAGTCCCAGCTACTTGGGGAGGGGGCTGAGGCAGGAGAATCGCTTGAACCCGGGAGGCGGAGGTTGCAGTGAGCCAAGACCATGCCATTGCACTCCAGCCTGGGTGACAGAGTGAGACTCCATCTCAAAAAAAAAAAAAGGTTGGGGAGGAAATTTGGGCACCAAGACAGACATACACAGAGATAAGCCCATATGAAGATGACGGCAAAGATTGGAGTGAGGTATCCACAAGCCAAGGAAACTTGAAGATTGTCAGCAAATAAGGCCGGGCGTGGTGGATCACACCTGTAATCTCAGCATTTTGGGAGGCCGAGGTGGGAGGATGGCTCGAGGCCAGGAGGCCAGCCTGGCTGACATGGCAATACCCCATCTCTACTAAAAATACAAAAATTAGCTGGGCATCGTGGTGGGCACCTGCAATTCCACCTACTGAGGAGGCTGAGGCAGGAGAATCATTGAACCTGGGAGGCAGAGGTTGCAGTGAGCCAAGATCGCTCCACTGCACTCCAGCTGGGCAACAGAGTGAGATTCTGTCTCAAAAAAAAAATAAAGTTAGCAAACAACCAGACGCTGGGAGAGAGACATAGGACAGATCCTTCCCTCCACAGCCCCAGAAGGAACCAACCCTGTCCACACCTTGATCCCGGACTTCTGGCTTCCAGAACAGTGAGACACTAAATTTCTGTTGTTGAAGTCACCTAGTCTGTGGTACTTTGTCACTGCAGCCCTAGGAAATTAAAACACGCTGTAAATAGCAGTAAAGGAGCTGGTAGTGGGGCGGGAGAAGAGGGGGCAATGACTCAGTTCACACTGTCAGATTTTTGCCAGGGGCTGACAGGTACCAGGGAAAGTGTCAGGTATGAGGACGTGACAGTGACTGAGGGTTACAGCCCCTGCCCCCAGGGGGCTCAGAGTGACATTGCCGAGGTGGGTGATGAATAAGAAATAGGTCCATGCCCCTTAGGTGACAACAGTGGGTTGGACCCACAAGGAGGGAGTTGACTCTAATCTGGGGCTCCATGCAACCTGAGGTTGGATGCCTAAAAGATGGGTAGTGTTGGCCAGGTGGAGTGGCTCATGCCTGTAATCTCAGCACTTTGGGAGGCCAAGGAGAGGACATCACTTGAGCTCAGGAGTTTGAGACCAGCCTGGCCAACACGGTGAAACTCCGTCTCTACTAAAAATACAAAAATTAGCCAGGCGTGGTGGCGCGTGCCTGTAATCCCAGCTACTCAGAAGGCTGAGGCAGGAGAATCACTTGAGCCCAGGAGGTGAAGCTTGCAGTGAGCTGAGGTCTCGCCACTGCACTCCTGCCTGGGCAACAGAGCAAGACTCTGTCTCACAAAATTAAAAAAATAGGCCGGGCCTGGTGGCTCACGCCTGTAATCCCAACACTTTGGGAGGCTGAGGCGGGCAGATCACTTGAGGTCAGGAGTTTGAGACCAGCCTGACCAACATGGAGAAAGCCTGTCTCTACTAAAAATACAAAATTAGCCAGGCATGGTGGTGCATGCCTGTAATCCCAGCTACTCTGGAGTCTGAGGCAGGAAAATCGCTTGAGCCCCGGGAGGCGGAGGTTGCAGTGAGCTGAGATCATGCCATTGCACTCCAGCCTGGGCAACAAGAGCGAAACTCCGTCTCAAAAAAAATAAATACATAAAAATAAGAAATAAAGAAATAAATTACCCAGTCTCAGGTATTTCTTTACAGCAATGCGAGAATGGCCTAATATGCCTTGCCTCCAGTGTGGGCTGAACCTAATGACTCCGTTCTAAGGAACAGAAACCGGCAAAAGCAATGGTGTGTCACTTTTGTGATTAGGTTACAAAAGACTGCGATTTCCATCTCACTGCACTCCATCTAGCTCCTTCTTGGCTTGCATGCTTTGAAAAAACAAGTGGCCTCCTGGGAGAAAGCCGCGTGGCAATGACACTGAGGGTTTTGTTTGGTTTTGTTTTGTTTTGTTTTGTTTTGTTTGAGACAGAGTCTCGCTCTGTCGCCCAGGCTGGAGTGCAGTGGTGCGATCTCCGCTCACTGCAACCTCCACCTCCCAGGTTCAAGTGATTCTTCTGCCCCAGCTCCCGAACAGCTGAGACCACAGGCACGTGCCACCACATCCGGCTAATTTTTTCTTTTTGTTTGTATGTTTGTTTGTTTTTGAGACGGAGTTTTGCTCTTGTTGCCCAGACTGGAGTGCAATGGCTTGATCTCAGCTCACTGCAACCTCCCCGTCCTGGGTTCAAGCCATTCTCCTGCCTCAGCCTCCCGAGTAGCTGGGATTACAGGCATGCACCACCACGCTCAGTAATTTTGTATTTCTAGTAGAGGTGGGGTTTCTCCATGTTGGTCAGGCTGGTCTCAAACTCCCAACCTCAGGTGATCCACCCGCCTCGCCTCCCAAAGTGCTGGGATTACAGGCCTGAGCCATCACACCCGGCTGACACTGAGGGCCTTAATCTAATAGCCACTGGGACTAAATCCTGCCAACAGGGAGCTTAGATGTCAGTCCTCCCCTAGCTGATCCTTACAGTGAGGACAGCCTTGGATGACATCTGGATACCAGCCTAGGAGAGACCTTGAGGCAGAAAACCCAGCCCAGAGTCCAGGCCCACTGGAACTGTAGATAATAAATGTTGTTTTGAGCCCATTCATTTTGGAGTAATTTGTTACACGATGATAGCTGATACAAATGCCACACACCAACTGACTCATGTCCACTTCATTGACTTCCCTGTTTTTGTGGAGGATGGAGGCCTTCACTTTTCCAAATAAATTTTTTTTATTTTTACTTATTATTATTATTATTTTGAGATGGAGTCTCGCACTGTCACCCGGGCTAGAACGCACGGGCGCAATCTCGGCTCACTGCAACCTCCGCCTCCTAGGTTCAAGTGATTCTCTTGCCTCAGCCTCCTGAGTAGCTGGGATTACAGGTGTGTGCCAACACACCTGGCTAATTTTTGTATTTTTAGTAGAGATGGGGTTTCACCACGTTGGCCAGGCTGGTCTCGAACTCCTTACCTCATGATCCACCCACCTCAGCCTCTCAAAGTGCTGCGATTACAGGCGTGAGTCACCGCGCCCGGCCTTCTTTTTTTTTTCAATTGTTTTTTCTTTTATAGAGGTGAGGTCTTGCTGTGTTGGCCAGGCTGGTCTTGAACTCTTGGCCTCAAGCAATCCTCCCACCTCGGCCTCCCAAAGTGTAGGATTACAGGCGTGCACCACTGCGCCCGAACTCCAAATGAATTTTTGTTGCTTATGTGAAGTCACTTCAAAGAGGCTCTTATTGACCTCTGCAGAATCAAAGAAGTTGGACTTTTCTGTTTGGATTTCATAATAGTAAGTGAACCTGCCACTGGGCATTCCTTTTGTTTTTGTTTTTTGAGACAGGGTCTCCCTCTGTCACCCAGGCTGGAGTGCAGTGGTGTTATCATAGCTCTATGCAACCTCGACCTCCCAGGCTTAAGCCATCCTCCCACCTCAGCCTCATGAGTAGCTGGGACTACAGGTGCACCCCACCATGCCTGGCTAATTTTTGTATTTTTTGAAGAGATGGAGTTTTGCCATGTTGGCTAGGCTGGTCTCCAACTCCTGGGCTGAAGCAAATCCTCCTGCCTCGCCCTCCTGAAGTGCTGGGATTATGGGTGTGAGCCACCACACTCCACCTGGACTTCTTAACTAATATCTAGAAGAGAGCTGTTACTTCGGAAAAAACCCTCAAGCTTTTTTTTTTTTTTTTTTTTTTGAGGCAGAGTCTCGCTCTGTCACCTAGGCTGAAGTGCAGTGGTGCGATCTTGGCTCACTGCAACCTCCGCCTCCCAGGTTCAAGCGATTCTCCTGCCTCAGCCTCCTGAATAGCTGGGACTACAGGCGCACACCACCACACCCGGCTAATTTTTGTATTTTTAGTAGAGACGGAGTTTCACCATGTTGGCCAGGCTGGTCTCGAACGCCTGACCTCAGGTGATCTGCCTGCCTAGGCCTCCCAAAGTGCTGGGATTACAGGCATGAGCCAGTGCGCCTGGCAAAAATCCACAAACTATTTCAAGGAGAGGGGAAACCAAGATGTTCTGAGTGGGTAGAGGAAGAAGGTGAGGATGGAGCTGAGCTGGACCCTGGATGAGGGCATTTCAGGAAAATCTGAGCCCCAAAAAATGACCCCGGTGGACACACTCTCCCCAGTGCTGCAGACACTGCAATAACCAAATATCTAGCTAGTCATGTGAAATCTTCAGAGTTAACAAAAATTCCCTAAGATGTTGACAATTTAATTAAAACATTTCTAATCTACTTAAAAAAAAAGGTTAACTGACACATATTGTATATATTTACAGAGTACAATGTGATATTTTGATCCGTGAACACATTGTAGACAGATTAAATCAAGCTAATTTTTGTTTTTGTTTTTGTTTGAGAAGGAGCTCCGCTCTGTCACCCAGGCTGGAGTGCAGTGCCACGATCTCGGCTCACTGCAACCTCCACCTCCCGGGTTCAAGAGATTCTCCTCCTTTAGCCTCCTGAGTAGCTGGGATTACAGGCATGCGCTACCATGCCTGGCTAATTTTTTTGTACTTTTGGTAGAGACGGGATTTTGCCATGTTGGCCTGTCTGGTCTCAAACTCCTGACCCCAGATGATCCGCCCACCTTGGCCTCCCAAAGTGCTGAGATTACAGGCGTAAGCCATCGTGCCCAGCCATAAATCAAGCTAATTAACATATCTATCACATCACCTACTTAGCACTTTTTGGGGAGACGAGAATGTTTAAAATAGGCTCTATTAGGCTGGACGAGGTGGCTCATGCCTGTAATCCTAGCGCTTTGTGGGGCTGAGGTGGGTGGATAGCTTGAGCCCAGGAGTTTGAGACAAGCTAGGGAAACACAGTAAAACCCCAACTCTACAAAAAATACAAAAATTAGCCCAGCATGGTAGCTCACACCTGTAATCCCAGCACTTTGGGAGGCCAAGGCGGGTGGATCACCTGAGGTCGGGAGTTCAAGAACAGCCTGACCAACATGGAGAAACCCTGTCTCTACTAAAAATACAAAATTAGCCAGGTGTGGTGGTGCATACCTGTTAATTCCAGCTACTCAGGAGGCTGAGGCAGGAGAATCGCTTGAACCCAGGAGGCAAAGGTTGCGGTGACCGAGATTGCGCCATTGCACTCCAGCCTGGGCAATAAGAATGAAACTCAAACTCAAAAAAAAAAAAAATACAAAAATTAGCCAGGTCTGGTGGCATGCACCTGTAGTCCCAGCTACTCAGGAGGCTGAGGCAGGAGGATCACCTGAACCAGGGAGGGAGAGGTAGCAGTGAGCTATGATCACACCACTGCACACCAGCTTGGGGGACAGAGTGAGACCCTGTCTCAAAAAAAAAAAGGCTTTGTTAGCAATATTTAAATATACATGATTGCTAACTATGGCCATCATCCCATGCAGTAGATCATTAAAGTGTGTTCCTATTGACTATTATTTAAAAGATACGCCGGGCACAGTGGCTCACGCCTGTAATCCCAGCACTTTGGGAGGCTGAGGCGGGCGGATCACGAGGTCAGGAGATCAAGACCATCCTGGCTAACACGGTGAAACCCCACCTCTACTAAAAATACAAAAAATTAGCTGGGCGTGGTGGCAGGCGCCTGTAGTCCCAGCTACTCCGGAAGCTGAGGCAGGAGAATGGCGTGAACCCGGGAGGCGGACCTTGCAGTGAGCCGAGATCGCACCACTGCACTCCAGCCGGGGTGACAGAGAGACTCCGTCTCAAAAAAAAAAAAAAGACAAAAAAATATTTAATAACAGATGTTGATGAAAATGCTGAGAAAAGGGAACGCTTGTACACTGCTGGTCAGAGTGTAAATTAGTTCGACCTCTATGGAAAACAGTATGAACATTTCTCAAATAGGCCGGGCGCGGTGGCTCACGCCTGTAATCCCAGCACTTTGGGAAGCCGAGGCGGGCAGATCATGAGGTCAGGAGATTGAGACCATCCTGGCTAATACAGTGAAACCCTGTCTCTACTAAGAATACAAAAAATTAGCCAGGCATGGTGGTGGGCACCTGTAGTCCCAGCTACTCGGGAGGCTGAGGCAGGAGAATGGCGTGAACCTGGGAGGCGGAGCTTGCAGTGAGCCGAGATCGCGCCACTGCACTCAAGCCTGGGCGACAGAGTAAGATTCTGTCTCAAAAAAAAAAAAAAATTCTCAAATAACTAAACAATAGAACTATCATTTGATCCAGCAATCCTACTACTGGGCATATACTCAAAAAAAAAAAAAAAAAAGAAATCAATATATCAAAAAGACTCCTGGCTGGGCATGGTGGCTAAGCATGTAATCCCAGCACTTTGAGAGGCCAAGGTGGACAGATCATTTGAGGTCAGGAGTTTGAGACTAGCCTGGCCAACATGGTGAAATCCCATCTCTAATATAAAATACAAAAATTAGCCAGGCGTGGTGGCAGGTGCCTGTAATCCCAGCTACTCAGAAGACAGAGGCACAAGAATTGCTTGAACCCGGGAGATGGAGGTTGCAGTGAGCTGAGATCACGCCATGCACTCCAGCCTGGGTAATAGAGCAAGACTCTGTCTCAAAACAGACAAACAAACAAACAAACAAACAGATACCTGCACTTGTAGGTTTATCACAGCACTACTCGCAATAGCAAAGATAAGAAATCAGCCTAAATGTCCATCCACAGAGGACTGGCTAAAGAAAATGTGGTACATATACACAGCGCAATACCACACAGCCATAAAAAAAAATCTTTGAGCCGTGAAATCATGTCTTTTGCTGCAACAGGGATGGAACTGGAGGTCATTATCTTAAGTGAAACAGGTCAGACACACAGTCAAATATTGCATGTTCTTACTCATACATGGGTGCTAAAAAATGTGTTCATGTGGATGTAGAGAGTGGAATGACAGAGCAGATGTGGTAGGGTGATGAGAAATTACTTAATGGCTATGATGTACCTTATTGGGGTGATGGATACCCCAAAAGCCCTGACTTCACCACTATACAATTTATGCATGTAACAAAATTACATACCCTCTCTAGATTTATTTATGTATTTACTTATTGAGACAGAGTTTCACTCTCCTTGCCCAGGCTGGAGTGCAATGGCATGATCTTGGCTCACTGCAACCTCCACCTGTAATCCTAGCACTTTGGGAGGCCAAGGGGAGCAGATCACCTGAGGTTGGGCGTTCGGGACCAGCCTGACCAACATGGAGAAACTCCATTTCTACTAAAAATACAAAATTAGCCAGGCATGGTCATGCATGCCTGTAATCCCAGCTACTTGGGAGGCTGAGGCAGGAGAAACGCTTCAACCCGGAAGGCAGAGGTTGCGGTGAGCCAAGATCTCACCATTGTACTCCAGCCTAGGCAACAAGAGTGAAACTCTGTCTCAAAAAAAAAAAAAAAAAGAGATGGGGTCTTGCTATGTTGCCCAGGCTGGAGTGCAGTGGCTATCCACAAGCAATCATCACAAACTACAGCCTCTAACTTCTGAGCTCAAGTGATTCTCCCACCTCAGCTTCCAAAGTAGCTAAGACTACAGGCACATGCCACGACCTGCAGCTGCATAGACTTTTTTACAACCTTTATCTTCTTGATTTTCTGCCTTGGCAAGGGCAGAAGCCCTGACCACATTGTTTACTGTACATCCCATGGTGTTTGACACAGGTGTTACCACCCAGCAGGTGCTCAATAAATATTTGCCAAACAAGCGAAGGAATGAATGAAGGAAGTTAGTGTCCACAAGACAGGTCTGCTTCACTCTTTGAGTTCGGAAACAAAGCAGATGACAGGAGCTGGTGGCACGTACACTCCCAAATGTCCAGTGCCAACACCTTGCCCTGCTCTTACTGGCTGGCCAGGTGGGAGCTGACTCGTACTTCCTCCAGCTCCCCAGCAGAAGCTGTATGGCACTTCCCAGCTGCTGGGAGGACCCCTTCTCATTGCACAGTTGGCCTCATGACAGCCTCGCCCTACTGCTCTTCATGGTCTCCTGGGCACACCTGTGGTGTTAGCCAGCTCAGGTAACATCATGACCAGCTGCTAATCTCAAGTGTTCACAGAAGCAGCTGAGAAGGACAGCAAGGAAGCGTTCCCGTGAGGCCAGACTGGGAAAGCCCAGAAGGCTGAGGTGCACTGAGCTCTCCTGAAATATGTAAAGAGCACATTTGGCTCTAGGAGGTAGTGACTTAGAGGGTCTTCAGCAAATGACTTAAAAGAGGCATCCTCTACCTGATGCTTTCAGTGAGCCAGGCATTGTGTTAAGTGTTTGCTTTGTGCTATCTCTCTGTCTCCTTTTTTTAGATGGAGTTTCGCTCTTGTTGCCCAGGCTGGAGTACAATGGTATGATCTTGGCTCACTGCAACCTCTGCCTCCTGGGGTCAAGCGATTCTCCTGCCTCAGCCTCCTGAGTAGCTAGGATTACAGGCGTGTGCCACCACGCCCTGCTAATTTTTGCATTTTTAGTAGAGATGGAGTTTCTCCGTGTTGGTCAGGCTGGTCTCGAACTCCTGACCTCAGGTGATCCGCCCACTTCGGCCTCCCAAAGTGCTGGGATTATAGGCATGAGCCACCGCGCCCGGCCTCTTTTTTTTTTTTTTTTGAAACAGGGTCTTGCTCTGTCACCCAGGCTGGAGTGGAGTGTAGTGACGCGATCTTGGCTCACTGCAACCTCTGCCTCCCAGGCTCAACCCATCCTCCCAAGTAGCTGGAACTACAGGAACCCTCCACCAAGCCTGGCTAATTTTTTTGTAGAGATGGGGTTTTACCATTTTGCCCAGGGTGGTCTTGAACTCCTGGGCTCAGGCAATCTGCCTTGGCCTCCCAAAGCACTGGGATTACAGGTGTGAGCCACCATACCTGGCCAATGTGCTATATCATTAAATGCTCTTAGAGCCACATTGAACAGATGAGCTGCTGAGAACCAATGGGTTCAGCAATGTGTTCACAACCAAGGGTTCAAATCCAGAACTCTGAAGTCAGAGATGTACAAGAATAACCACTGGCCTCCCTGTCCCTCCCTACCTTACATGTGCCTTGCTCTGGGACAGACCCTGGAAACGCTCTAAAGCAGCTCTTATGGTGGAAATGCAACGCAAGCCATATATGTGTTTTAAAACTTTCTAGCAGCCCCTCCCCACACACACACATAAAAAGAAACAAATGAAAATCACGTTAATAATATATTCCTGGCCAAGTGTGATGGTACACACCTGTCATCCCAGCTACTTGGGAAGCTGAGGCAGGAGAATCACTTGAACCTGGGAGGCGGAGGTTGCAGTGAGCCGAGATGGCGCCACTGCACTCCAGCCTGGGCAACACAGAGAGACTCTGTCTCAAAAAATAAATAAATAAAATAAAATAAAAAATAATATATTCCAGGTCTTGGCAAACTTTCAGTAAGGGCCCAGAGTGAGTATCTTAGTTTTCACAGGCCATGAGAACCCTGCTCTGTCTTCCTCTTTTGTTGTTGTTGATTTCCCCAATCCTTCAAACATGTAAAAACCATCCTATTTTTTTTTTTCTAAGACAGAGTCTCACTCTGTCACCCAGGCTGGAGTGCAGTGGCGTGATCTCAGCTCACTGCAATCTCTGCCTCGCAGGTTCGAGTGATTCTCCTGTCTCAGCCTCCTGAGTAGCTGGGATTACAAGCGCCCGCCACCAAGCCCAGCTAATTTTTTGTATTTTAGTAGAGATGGGGTTTCACTATGTTGGCCAGGCTGGTCTCAAACTCCTGACCTCAAGTGATCCACCTGCCTCAGCCTCCCAAAGTGCTGGGATTACAGGCGTGAGCCACTGCACCCGGCCAGTAAAAACCATCCTTAGCTTGAGATCTGGACAAAAAAGAACTACAGGCTTTGTCCATGACTGGAAGGACTCAAGAAACAAATAGTAATTCATTTTAAAAATAATTGAAGGAGGGCCAGGTGTGGCAGCTCACGCCTGTAATCCCAGCACTTTGGGAGGCTGAGGTGGGCAGATCACCTAAGGTCAGGAGTTCGAGACCTTCCTGGCCAATATGGTGAAACTTCATCTTTACTAAAAATACAAAAATTAGCCGGGCGTGTTGGCAGGTGCCTGTAATCTTAGCTACTTGGGAGGCTGAGGCTGGAGAATCGCTGGAACCTGGGAGGCGGAGGTTGCAGTGAGCCCAGATCATGCCACTGTGCTCCAGCCTGGGTGGAGCAAGACAGAGCAAGATCTGGTCTCGAAAAATAAATAAGTAAATAAATAAATAAAATAATTGAAGGAGGAGAAGAAGGGGGAGGAGAAAGGGGAAGAAGAGAAAAGAACGAGGGGAAGAAAGGAGGCGGAGGGTCAGGGAGAAAAGGAGAGGGAAGCAGGAGGAGAAGAAAAGGAGGAAGAAAGAAAGAGGAGGTTGGGGCCGGGTGCAGTGGCTCACGCCTGTAATCCCAGCACTTTCGGAGGCCGATGCAGGAAGATCATGAGGTCAAGAGATCAAGACCATCCTGGCCAATATGGTGAAACCCCGTCTCTACTAAAAATACAATCATTAGCTGGGCATGATGGTGCATGCCTGTAGTCCCAGCTACTCAGGAGGCTGAGACAGGAGAATCGCTTGAACCTGGAAGGCAGGGGTTGCAGTGAACTGAGATCCTGCCACTGCACTCCAGCCTAGCAACAGAGCAAGACTCTGTCTCAAAAAAAACCAAAAAAACAAAAAGAGGTTGGAAGGAGGGAGAAGAAACATCTACTAAACCCTTACATCATGTGGACGCCATCTTTGCTGGGTAACTCCTCACTGCAGCTTAAATTTCACTAGCAGAGAAACTCCTGATTCCCTCCCCTAGGTTCACCCTACCTGCCTGAATGCTACATACTTCCCCCATCCTCCACATCATCCTGTTTTATTGTGATACTTTGTTTCAAACTTGTCTTCACTAGTTGACTCTAAACTGCGTGAAGCTGCAACCAATTTGCCCATCCTCTGGCATCAGGCACAGTTTCAACGTCTACTAGACCAATAAAGAATCAAAGACATTTAAACACTGGCAGGGCCAATGTCTAGTTAGAAGATTAAAAAGGCAAGGACTTACTGTCTCCGGTCCTGGTGTGGGAATGTGGCTGGTGCCTCAGCCCTGAGTGTGCAGGATGTGACTGCTCAGTGGGCACGGGATACACTGGGATCCTGGGGCCTCCAGGGTCCCATCCCTGGCCTCTGGCGTCCAGCCTCCAGGAAGTCATAGGACCCTCTGGCCTCGCAGGTGACCTTGAAGGAACTGGGCTGAATGCTGCCCTTCTGATCAGCTTTCTCTTGTTTGGCTGCCTCTTGGTGTCCACAGAAGCATCATTCATGTTCCTGACTCTGGACAGTGAGCGTGTCCCCAGGGTTCTCCCACAGGAGATGGGCATATCAGGGCACAGGTCTTCTGCAGAAGGCTGAGATGTGGGTACATGGTGACCACCCAGGATTTCTGTGGCTGCAACCAGGCTTAGCAGGGCTCTGGTGTCCAGATGAGTAATTCCTCCTGGGGAGAGGAGAGAGAGGAGACAGGATCAGTGTTACCTCTTCAGTGATTTAGAAAACTCAGAGCCATAAGTATACTTCAGAAGAGGCAATCCTCTATAAGTGCTCCCTGAATAAGACCCCAAATTGCAAACAAACCTTGCAAACAAAGAGCTAGTCTAGGCCGGGCGCGGTGGCTCACCCCTGTAATCCCAGCACTTTGGGAGGCCGAGGCGGGTGGATCACCTGAGGTCAGGAGCTCGAGACCAGCCTGGCCAACATGGTGAAACCCCCCTTCTACTAAAAATACAAAAATTAGCTGGGCATGGTAGTGGGTACCTGTAATCTCAGCTACTCAGGAGGTTGAGGCAAGAGAATGACTTGAACTCGGGAGAAGGAAGTTGCAGTGAGCTGAGATCGTGCCATTGCATTCCAGCCTGGGTGACAAGAGCAAAACTCCATCCCAAACAAAAAAAAGAGCTAGTCTAGTGCTAATCTGTCCAATTCTGGAAGCTACAATAATAAAAATTGAAAATAGCAGTCCTACTATTTATGGAGTCACCAGTGTATGCCAGCATTGACCATGCTTCCTCCCAATCTTTTTGACAACTCTTGTCAATATTGGTAAAGTTTATAGCAGTATCCCTCAAGGTTTGATTCACATAGGAATCATTTGTTAAAATGCAGTTTCTGATACGGAAGATCCTGCGGAGATTCTTCATGTCTAACAAGACCCCAGGTGACCATTCTGCTTCACTTCACAGACCTCGCAGAGAGTTCAAGTGGATGTATTTGGGCAAACTGAGCATTTAGTGACTATTTGCTGGATGAATGAATGGATGGGTGGATGAGTGGACAGACGATAGATGGATGTATGAGCAGATAGATGGATTGATGAGTGGATGGATGGGTGGGTGGGTGGATGGGTGGAGGAATGAATGGGTGAATAGATGGATGAATAGAAGATGGATGGATTAATGAAAGATGGCTGCATGGATGGAAGAAGGGGTTGGTGGGTGAGTGCATGAATGGATAGATGGATGAGTGGATGAATGCATGGATGAGTGGATGAATGAATGGATCGGTGAATGGATGAATGGGTGGGTGGGTGGATGCAGGAATGAGTGGGTGAATAGATGAATAGAAGATGGATAGATGAATGAAAGATAGTCATCTTTATTAAATATCGGATGAATGAAAGAGGCAAGTTCCCCCATAAGCCTCTGAAATGTGGTTATTAGAAAATAATTGTGTCCTGGAAGCCAGCTCAGGGCCAGGCACATCATAGGTTCTTAGAAATAAACAAGCACCTTGGCACTTGAAAAAAATGTCCAAGGCATGAAGGTTATTCTCACATTTTTCTCTTCTCTCCTAAAGCAAGTTGTAAGACTCTCATGTGAGAGCAGCCCTCCCTATCCCGGGAGGAGAGGAACATCTTATCTCTGAAGACACAGGACACAGAGAAGAATCTGAACAAACAGGCCTGGCTAAGTTCCCCCAGTTTACTGGCAGAAGATCCTTTCTTTTTTTTTTTTTTTTTGTTTAACCCAATCCTACTTCTCTATGACTATCCACCTCTTTATCAGACCTAGCATAAAAAATTACACAGGTTGGCCAGGCGCGGTGACTCACCTGTAATTCCAGCATTTTGGGAGGCCAAGGCAGGTGGATCATTTGAGGTCAGGAGTTTGAGACCAGCCTGGCCAACATGGTGAAACCCCATCTCTACTAAAAATACACAAATTAGTCAGTGATTACAGGCATCTCAGCCCTTTTAGATCATGCTCACCAAGCATCCTCCCTGGCCACTGCATGGTTTCAATAACCTCCCACGCACTTGTAACATCCAAACCTATAACTCCAGCCCCGCTCCAGAATCAAATACTCAGCTACCCTGTGGAGATAGCTGACCGACTCCAAGCCTAATATGGGTGTGACAGAGCCGATCACTGCTCTAGGTGCCGCTTTTCCTCTCTTGCTGAATGATTCCAACATCCACTTATTTGCCCCAAACTCCTAGAGATTACTCCATCTTCTTCCCTCATCCTCAGCCCCAAATACTATATTTCCTTCATATAACACCTGCTGTCATTTACGGTAATCACTAACTGGAGCCCCTACCCCCCAATAACCTTAGAGCTCTGCAAACAAACAGATGTGGGGAACCAGACTACGCCACCCCAAAATATGCCCCTTTAGCATAAGGACTGTTGAACTGAAGGCAATTAAGAAGTGGGCATGGGCTGGACGCAGTGGCTCATGCCTGTAATCCCAGCACTTTGGGAAGCCAAGAGGGTGGATCACTTGAGGTCAGGAGTTCGAGACCAGCCTGGCCAACATGGTGAAACCCCGTCTCTACTAATAATATAAAAATTAGCCAGGCATGGTGGTAGGCTCCTATAATCCCAGCTACTCGGGAGGTTGAGGCACAAGAATTCCTTAAACCCGGGAGGTGGGAGTTGTAGTGAGCCAAGACTGCACCATGGCACTCCAGGCTAGAGTGAGACTCTTTCTCAAGAGAAAAAAAAAAGTGGGTGCAGAAAGGCTCTCTATCCTCTTTCCATTTGCCCAAAAGCAAATAGAGACACAGGACAGAGAGCTGACTGTACTTGGAAATTGCTAAGAGAGTAGATTTTGGGGGTTCTCAAAAAAAAGTATGGGAAGTAATATATATGTTTTGTTTTGTTTTGTTTTGTTTTTGAGATGGAGTCTCACCCTGTTGCCCAGGCTGGAGTGCAGTGGCACGATCTCGGCTCACTGCAACCTCCGTCTCCTGGGTTCAAACGATTCTCCTGCCTCAGCCTCCTGAGTAGCTGGGATTATAGGCACCCGCCACCATGCCCGGCTAATTTTTGTATTTTTAGTAGAGACAAGGTTTCATCATGTTGGCCAAGCTGGTCTCAATCTCCCGACCTTGTGATCTATCCGTCTTGGCTTCCCAAAGTGCTGGGATTACAGGCGTAAGCCACCGTGCCCAGCCAGTAATATGTATGTTAATTAGCTCAATTTACTCAGTCCACAATGTATACAAATTTCAAAACATCATCTTGTATATCATAAATATATACAATGCTTTGTCAATGTAAAAAATGAAAAAGTGCCGGGCACAGTGGCTCACGCCTGTAATCCCAGCACTTTGGGAGGCCAAGGCGAGCAGACCGTTTGAGGTCAGGAGTTGGAGACCAGCATGGCCAACATAGTGAAACCCCGTCTCTACTAAAAATATAAAAATTAGCCAGGCATGGTGGTGAGCGCCTGTAATCCCAGCTACTCGGGAGGCTGAGGCAGGAGAATTGCTTGAACCCAGGAAGCGGAGGCTGCAGTGAGCCCAGATCATGCCACCGCACTCCAGCATAGGCGATAGAGCAAGACTTTGTCTCAAAACTAAAACAACAACAATAACAAAACGAACACAAAAGAAACCAACGAAACCCTAACTCAATGCACTCCAACCTGGGCGACAGAGCGAGACTCCATCTTAAAAAATAATAAATAAATACAAAATTCAAAATTACACACCTGGCTCACATATTTCCACACTGGGTACTGCTATCTTGTAAGTATCCACATTTTACAAAGAATAAGATTGAAGACACAGAGAGGCTAAGCTCCCAGTGTAACACAGCTGATTAGTAGCACAGCTGAGACTTAAACCCAGACCACGTGGTTTCAAAGTCAGAGGACCTAGCCACTAGGCTACACTGCTGAATGCTGTTGCCTCCATATGCTTCATCCATTATTGTGGGAAGGGGTAACTGAGGATCAGATACCTGCTCCCCAAGGAAGCCCTTTCACCTCGATTGTCCACCCTGGACAGGAGTTGAGCAACATGTTTGGACTTGTCTGCCTCTCCCCTGCAGATTCTCAACCAGGGCTGATGTCAATCTTCTTCATTCACATCACACAAGCAAAAGGAAACTATTTGTGAGTGTCAGGTGGAAGAAAAAGTAAGGTGTGGAACAAAAAACAATTGTATTTCTGGATGGTTGCGTTTCAAATAAACGAAACTCACTCTCTGTGAGTGTGGCCCGAGGGACAGAACCAGGGTCACCACCCGGCTTCCAGAAACACCTATTTCCAGCAGAAGCGCCCTCAACGGATCAGGGTCACTGGGATTCAAGACCTGGCCCCTTCCTAGGACTTTAGGGGCTGGCCTCCCAGGGAGAAGATAGAAGAGGAAGGTGAGCTCTTTTCTTTGTCTTTTTTTAGAACACTTCTATCTGGAGCCACACGCCCCTGTCACTAACGCCACACCGACCCACAGTCAGAGTTACTCATGGTCAGACTCACCCTAAACCTATCCTACACGCCCAGATGCAGCCATTCCCAAGCCCTTACCCACCGCTGGTATGCTCCCTCAGGGACGTGCAGCCTCAGAGATATACTTCAACAGCATCTTCACACAACCCCCCGACCCTCTGAGACCCACCTGCTTACAAACATACAACCAGTTATTTGGCCCTACAACAGCATCATTTTCTTTTCTTTCCTTTTCTTTTAATTTAATAATTGCAAGGGAGCTTCGTAGTTCTGTTTCTGGTCACATATTCCCTTGCAAATCATGCCATAAAGGCTGGGTGCGGTGGCTCACGCCTGTAATCCCAGCATTTTGGGAGGCTGAGGCAGGTGGATCACGAGGTCAGGAGTTCAAGACCAGCCTGGCCAACAAGGTGAAACCCCGTCTCTACTAAAAACTACAAAAAAATTAGCTGGGTGCGGTGGCAGGTGCCTGTAATCCCAGCTACTCAGGAGGCTGAGGAAGGAGAATCGCTTGAACCTGGATGGCAGAGGTTGCAGTGAGCTGAGATTGTGCCACCGCATTCCAGCCTGGGCAACAAGAGTGAAACTGTCTCAAAAAAAAAAAAAAGAAAGAAAGAAAGAAAAAAGAAAAAGAAAAGGAGAAAGAAAATCATGCTGTCGTCATGCCTGTAACCCTGCACTTTGAGAGGTCGAGGCGGGTGGATCGCTTGAGCACAGGGGTTCGAGACCAGCCCAGGCAACATATGGAGACCTTGTCTATACAAAAATACAAAAATTATCTGGGGGTGGTGTCGCGTGCCTGTAGTCCCAGCTACTCAAGAGGCTGAGGCAGGAGGATCGCTTGAGGTCAGGAGGTCCAGGCTGCAGTGAGCTGAGATCACACCACCGCACTCTAGCTTGAGTGACAGCCTCTCGAGTAGCTGGGACTACAGTTGCGTAACACCACACCCAGCTAATTTTTCTATTTTTGTAGAGACGGGGTCTCCCCATGTTGCCCAGGCTGGTCTTGAACTCCTGGGTTCAAGCAATCCACTCTCCTTGGCCTCCCAAAGTGCTGGGATTACAGGTCTGAGGATGGCATCAAGGGAATACATGACTAGAAACAGACCTCCAAACCTCCCTTGCAATGATTAAATCTACCCTCCACATTGCAAGTCACCCCTTTATAGGATAAAAGCTTTAAGGAAACATGACCGGGCGCGGTGGCTCACACCTGAAATCCCAGCACTTAGGGAGGTCAAGGTGGGTGGATCACCTGAGGTCAGGAGTTTGAGACCAGCCTAGCCAACATGATGAAACCCCACCTCTATTAAAAATAAAAAACTTAGGCAGGCATGGTGGCACACACCTGTAGTCCCAGCTACTCAGGAGGCTAAGGCAGGAGAATCGCTTGAACCCGGGAGGCGGAGGTTGCAGTGAGCCGAGTTAGTGCCATGCACTCCAGCCTGGGCAACAGAGCAAGACTCCGTCTCAAAAATAAAAACAAAACAAAAAACAAGAAACATTTATTTTCTCACATAATTCGTGTGAGCCAGGAGTTGAAGGGCAGCTTAGATGGGTGCTTAGTGGCTTTCAAGAGGTTGAAGTCAAATGTCCTCTGGGGCTGCAGTCATCTGAAGGCTTGATGTGGGCTGGAGGATCCAGTTCCAAGGTGGCTCATTCATTTGCTTGGCAAATTAGTGCTGGTTGTGGGCAGAAAACCTCAGTTCATTGCCATGTAGGCCTCTCTATAGAGCTGCTTGAGTATCCTGGTGACAATATGGAAGCAGTCATGTCTTTTATGATGTAAATTAGTGCCAGGAGCTGGGCACGGTGGCTCACTCCTGTAATCCCAGCACTTTGGGAAACCGAGGCGGGCAGATTGCTTGAGTTGGAGACAAGCTTGGGCAACATGGCGAAACCCCACCCCTACAAAAGATACAAACATTAGCCAGGCTTGGTGGCGTGCACCTGTAGTCCCAGCTACTCTGGAGGCTGAGGCAGGAGGATTACCTGGGAACCTGGGAGGCGGAGGTTGCAGTGAGCCAAGATCCCAGCACTACACTCCAGCCTGGGTGACAGAGGGAGACTTCATCTCAATCGATCAATAAATAAATTAGGTACAGGTGTGGACGATGGTCCTCAGGTATTATACCTTAAACACCTTGAGTACGACTTCTCTTGATCTAAAGACCAATAAATTTGCCTTCACTCACTCTTCTTTCTTTTTGAAGTTCCGGGCTTCTCTTTGATATCATTTCCCTTCAGCCTCAATAACTCTCTTTACTGTTTCTTTTAGAGCAATTCTGTTGATGATGACTTCTTTTCATTTTCTTTTACCTATTTATTTTACTATTGTTCCTCCTAGATATTTTCACTGGTATAGAATTCTTAGTGAATCGTCATGTTCTCTCAGCATTTTAGAAACATTGTTCCATTGTGTTCTAGAGTCCATGGTTTCCAGTGAGAAATCCAGTCATTCAAATCATTGTTTGCTAGAGGGTGTTTGGTGTTTGGTGTTTTTCTTTTTTTTAAGAGATGGGGTCTCGCTATGTTGCCCAGGCTGGACTCAAACTCTTGGGCTCAAGCGATCCTCCTATCTCAGCTACCCAAATAGCTGAAACTACGGACATGTACTGCGTTATTAATTCAAGCCTCTGCATTTTGGGGTCGTTTCTTCTATAACAATAGATAACTGGGACAGGCGCAGTGGCTCACGCCTGTAATCCCAACACTTTGGGATGCCAAGGTAGGCAGATCGCCTGAGGTCGGGAGTTCAAGAAGAGCCTGACCAACATGGAGAAACCCCATCTCTACTAAAAATATAAAATTAACTGGGCATGGTGGTGCATGCCTGTAATCCCAGCACTTTGGGAGGCCACGGCCGGTGGATCACCTGAGGTCAGGAGTTCCAGACTAGCCTGGCCAACCTGGTGAAACCCCGTCTCTACTAAAAATACAAAAATTAGCTGGGCGTGGTGGCAGGTGCCTGTAATCCCAGCTATTCTGGAAGCTGAGGCAGGAGAATCACTTGAACCTGGGAGGCAGAGGTTGCAGTGAGCTGAGATCGCACCACTGCACTCCAGCCTGGGCGACAGTGAGACTCCATCTCAAAAAAAAAAAAAAAAAAAAAAGTGTGGGGATTACAGGCAGAGCCACCATGCCTGCTGTCTGTGTCTGTTTTGTTGAGCCACCAACAGGCTGTTAACTTGAGTACATTTCTTCTGCTCTCTGACTTAGTGTACTCATCTGGAAAATGGGGGTGAATGTGCTCCCACACTGCTGAGCTGTAGAGGGCCTTAAATGAGTTAATCTCTCCCTGAAATCTCTCTGTGAATGGCCCAACCGTAATCAGATTCCGTAAAGGGTAGCTGTGGTCATTCTTCTTTTTTCCCTCCTCCCCTCTTCCACTCATTCTGGTGACCCAAGATTTCCCAGTTCTTTACCTATGACTCACCCCACCTCAGAGCTTTTTCTTTTTCTTTTTTTCTTGAGATGGAGTCTTGCTCTGTCACCCAAGCTGGAGTGCGGTGGTGTCATCTCTGCTCACTGCAACCTCCGCCTCCCAGGTTCAAGCAATTCTCCTATCTCAGCCTCCAGAACAGCTGGGATTACAGATGCACACCAGCACGCCTGGCTAATTTTTGTATTTTTAGTAGAGACAGAGTTTTACCATGTTGGCCAGGCTGGTCTCGAACTCCTGACCTCAAGTGATTGGCCCACCTTGACCTCCGAAACTGAGCTTTTTTTTTCCCTTCCTTTTTTTTTTGAGACAGAGTCTCACTCTGTCGCCCAGGCTGGAGTGCAGTGGCGCAATCTCGGCTCACTGCAACGTCTGCCTCCCGGGTTCAAGAGATTCACCTGCCTCAGCCTCCCAGGTAGCTGGGATTACAGGCGAGCACCACCACGCCTGGCTAATTTTTGTATTTTAGTAGAGACAGGGTTTCACCATGTTGGCCAGGCTGGTCTGGAACTCCTGACCTCAAGTGATCTGCCCGCCTTGGCCTCCCAAAGTGTTGGGAATACAGACGTGAGCCACCACGCCCGGCCCAGAACTTTTTCTTACAGGCCTCTTGGACCACCTGACCCAGATACAGGACATTTCCTACAACTCCAGAGGAAAATCCCCTTCTTCCTTCCTCTACGGAAGTGACCGAGAGAAAGTAACACTCACTGTTTCCTCTCTTCCAGACCCTTCTGAAAATTCTAATTCCAGAAAGCTCATCTTATAAACCAAAAATAAAATTCTAAGCCCCCTAACCGACTTCATAGACCCCTCTTTTGGCCAAGAGGATCCCAAAGGAACCTGAAAAACTAGTTCAGCCCATGATAAGGAGAGGATTTGGACATCCCTCATTGTACCCCTCCCTTTGGAGTTTAAGCACAACTGACTAGCATTAACATTAAAACAGAGGCCCAGAGAGTTGGCCAATATATTGTCTTTTTGTTTGTTTGTTTTTGAGACAGAGTTTCGCTCTTGTTGCCCAGGCTGAAGTGCAGTGATGCGATCTCAGCTCACTGCAACCTCCACCTCCCAGATGCAAGTGATTCTCCTGCTTCAGCCTCCCAAGTAGCTGGAATCACAGGCACGCACCACCACGCCCGGCTAATTTTGTATTTTTAGTAGAGACGGGGTTTCACCATGTTGGCCAGGCTGGTCTCAAACTCCTGACCTCACGTGATCCACCCACCTTGGCCTCCCAAAGTGCTGGGATTACATGTGTGAGCCACCATGCCTTTTTGCCTTTCTAACGGAGCCCCTGGCAAATTCAAAAACTGTTTTGCTCTCTGTCTGCAAGTCTCCCTGGCAGATCCCTCAGTTATATTCGTACCCACCCCTTGAATGCTGTGGCTTCCAGAGATCCACCGGAACACCAAAGACTTCCATTCTCAACCACCTGAATCTCCGGAATCCCCTGCACCCACCTCCTCTCCCAGTGTTTCACGAATCAGCTAATCCTTCAAGGTCTTTAAAATGTATCCACGTCTTCCTCCTGGATTATTGCCTCCTGATAGCCTCTCTGATTTCTTTCCACCTTGTGCCCTAACAGTCTGCTCTTTGTACAGCAGCCAGAAGGAGGCTGTGAAAAATAAGAGTCAAAGCATGGGCTGGGCGTGGTGGCTCATGCCTGTAATCCCAGCACTTTGGGAGGCCATGGCAAGAGGACTGCTTAGGCCCAGGAGTTCAAGATAAACTTAGGCAACATAGCGAGACCCTGTCTCTACAAAAAAAAAAAAAATTAAAATAGGCCAGGCGCAGTGGCTCATGCCTATAATCCTAGCACTATGGGAAGCAGAGGCAGGCAGATCACCTGAGTTCAGGAGTTCAAGACCAGCCTGGCCACCATGGTGAAACTTTGTCTCTACAAAAATACAAAAATTAGCTGGGCATGATGACGGGTGCCTGTAATCCCAGCTACTCAGGAGGCTGAGGCAGGAAAATCACTTAAACCCAAGAGGTGGAGGTTGCAGTGAGCTGAGATCATGCCATTGAACTCTAGCCTGGGCAACAGAGCAAGACTCCATCTCAAAAATAAAATAAAATAAAAAATGAGCCAGGTATGGTAGTGCACACCTGTAGTCCCAGGTACTTGGGAAACTGAGGCAGGAGGATCACTTGAGCCCAGGAGGTTGAGGTTGCAGTGAGCTGTGATCAGCCACTGCACTGCAGCCTGGGGCACAGAGCAAGACCCTGTCCAAAAAAAAAGAAAAAGAAAATGATAGACCAGAGCTTAATGTCTTTCCATGGTTCTGCATATATGTCAGAGTCAAAACTAAATTCCCTCCAAGGACCTATTGGTTTGTCCCTGCCCTTATGTCCCTCCCCAGATTCCTTCTCTCCCACCTCGTTCACTCTGTTTCAGCTGCTCTGGTTTACTTGCTGTTTCTCAAACTCACTCCTGCCTCAAGTCCCTTGCATTTCCTGGAACATCCTTCCACCTACCCAAATACCTAAATAGTTCCATCCTCACTTCATTAAGTCCTCTGCTCAGATGTCACCTCTTCAAAGACTGTGCTACCTCACCCCTGAACCCTGACACCCACTACCTCTCTTGACATTGTAGGTGCTCAGTAATGTTTGTGGGATGAAAACATGATGGAAAAGAGCTTCTGCTCAAAGCTTTTTCTCCTTTTTTCTTTCTCTCCTTCCTTCCTTCTTTCCTTCCTTCCTGTTTTTTTTTTTTCTTTTTCTTTTTTTTTTTTTGATACATAGTCTCGCTCTGTCACCTAGGCTGGAGTGCAACGGCGCGATCTTGGCTCACTGCAACCTCCGCCTCCTGGGTTCAAGCGATTCTCGTGCCTCAGCCTCCTGAGTAGCTGGGATTGCAGGTGCCCGCCACCATGCCCGGCTAATTTGTTGTATTTTTAGTAGAGACGGGGTTTCACCATGTTGGTCAGGCTGGTCTCAAACTCCTGACCTCAGGTGATTCATCCTCCTCGGCCTCCCAAAGTGCTGGGATTGCAGGCATGAGCCACCACGCCTGGCCCTTCCTTCCTTCATTCCTTCCTTCCTCCCTCCCTTCCTTCTTTCTTTCTCTTTCTTTCATCTTCCTTCCTTCTCTTTCTTTCTCCCTTTCTGCTTCCTTCCTTCTTTTCCGTCCTTCCTTCTCTTTCTTTTTCTCTTTCTCCTTCCTTCCTTCCTTCCTCCCTGCCTCCCTCCCTCCCTCTTTTTCTCTCTCTTTCTCTCTTTCTTTCTTCCTTGTTTTGCCATGTTGCCCAGGCTGCTCTTGAACTTCTGGGCTCAAGGGATCCTCCCAGCTCAGCCTCCCAAGTAGCTAAGACTATAGGCACGTACAACCATGCCTAGCTAATGTTTTGTATTTTTAGTAGAAATGGGGTTTTCCCATGTTGCCCAGGCTGGTCTTGAGCTCCTGGACTCCTGGACTCAAGTACTCTTCCCACCTCTGCCTCCAAAAGTGCTAGGGTTACAGGTGAGAGCCACTGCGCCTGGCCCTCTCTCTCTCATCTCAGATTTTTCTCTCCACCTTAGCCACTCCCAGATGTTCTCCTCACTCCTGTCTCCTTCCGTTGAAAAACCACCCTCAAGCTACTGGTGGATGAAGGGTGTGGACCACCCCACCCCTGGATCAAACCCCCAAGCCCCACCTCTATCACCCACAGCTATATTTCCTTGAGCAAGTTGCTTAATCTCTCCAAGCCTCAGTTTCCTCAACTACAAAACATATACAAATAGAAAGTGATACATGACTGCTTCATTGTAGTAACCATTGCACCATCTGCATGTATCCCACAATGTCATGTAGCAAACAACAAAAATTATTAAAAAGAAAAAAAGACGATCTGATCTCACAGATCTGTTAAGAGGATTAAATGGGATTATTCATGTAAAGCTCTCCATTTGTGATGTCATAGTGTAAATATCAAATTAACGGTGGAACGAGCTGTTGTAATCAATTCTTATCTAAATACGACCAATAATAACAATGCTTAATGTGATTATTACTAACCATAGTTGTATTTCCTCTTATATTAACCTCTTAGTCTCTCCTTACCATATTATAGATCATCAATAAATATTTATTGAATGAACGATTGAATGAATGGTTATTGAATTTTTGTAAGGAGGAAAAGATCACGGACTTCTTATAAAAAATATAAAAGTCAGTCCAGATGCGATGGCTCATGCCTGTAATCCAGCACTTTGGGAGGCCGAGGTGGGCTGATCACTTAAGGTCAGGAGTTCGAGACCAGCCTGGCCAACATGGTGAAACCCTATCTCTACCAAAAAAAAAATTAGCCAGGTGTGGTGGTGTGCACCTGTAATCCCAGCTACTCGGGAGGCTGGGGCAGGAGAATCACTTGAACCCAGGAGGCAGAGGTTGCAGTGAGCCGAGATCATGCCACTGCACTCCAGCCTGGGCAACAGAGTGAAACTCCGTCTCAAAAAAAAAGAAAAAGAAAAGTATAAAAGCCAGGTCTGTGGCCAGGCACAATGGCTCAACACCTGTAATCCCAAGACTTTCAGAGGCCAAGGCGGGCAGATAACTTGAGGTGAGGAGTTTGAGACCAGCCTGGCCAACACGGTGAAACCCTATCTCTACTAAAAATACAAAAAATTAGGCCAGGCTTGGTGGCTCGTGCCTGTAATCCCAGCACTTTTTGGGGCCGAGGCAGGTAGATCACGAGGTCACGAGCTCAAGAGATGGAGACAATCCTGGCCAACATGGTGAAACCCTGTCTCTCCTAAAAATACAAAAATTAGCTGGGTGTGGTGGCGCGCCTGTAGTCCCAGCTACGTGGGAGGCTGAGGCAGGAGAATGGCTTGAACCCAGGAGGCGGAGGTTGCAGTGAGCCGAGATCACACCACTTGCACTCCAGCCTGGTGACAGAACAAGACTTCGTCTCAAAAAAAAAAGAAAAATTAGCCAGGCATGGTGGTATGTGCTTGTAATCCCAGCTACTAGGGAGGCTGAGGCAAGAGAGTCGTTTGAACCCAGGATGCAGAGGTTGTATGAGCTGAGATCACACCACTGCACTCCAGCCTGGAGGACAGAGTGAGACTCTGTCTCAAAAAGAAAAAAGAAACAAACACAACTGGGTCAGGCAAGGTGGCTCACACCTATAATCCCAGCACTTTGGGAGGCTGAGATGGGAGGATTGCTTGAGGCCAGGAGTTTGAGACCCACCTGGGCAACATGGTGAGACCCCAATTTCTACTAAAAGTATAAAAATTAGTGCCGGGCACAGTGGCTCATGCTTATAATCCCAGCACTTTGGGAGGCCAAGGTGGGCAGGTCACCTGAGGTCATGAATTCGAGACCAGCCTGACCAAAATGATGAAACCCTGATTCTACTATAAATACAAAAATTAGCCGGGCGTGGTGGCACTCGCCTGTAATCCCAGCTACTTGGGAGACTGAGACAGGAGAATCACTTGAACCCGGGAGGTGGAGGTTGCAGTGAGCCGAGATCGCGCCATTGCACTCCAGGCTGGGCAACAAGAGCGAAACTCCATCTCAAAAAAAAAAAAAAAATTAGCCAGGTGGCAGGGCACAGTGGCTCACGCCTGTAATCCCAGCACTTTGGGAGGCCAAGGCAGGCAGATCACAAGATCAGGTGTTTGGGACCAGCCTGGCCAACACGGTGAAATCCCATCTCTACTAAAAATACAAAAATTAGTTGGACGTGTTGGCGGGCGCCTGTAATCCCAGCTACTCGGGAGGCTGAGGCAGGAGAATTGCTTGAACCCGGGAGGTGGAGTTTGCAGTGAGCCGAGATCACGCCACTGCCCTCCAGCCTGGGTGACAGAGTGAGATTCCATCTCAAAAAAAAAAAAAATTAGCTGGGCATGGTGGTGCGTGCCCATAGTCTCAGCTCCTTGGGAGGTTAAGGCACGAGAATCGCTGGAACCCAGGAGGAGGAGGTTGCAGTGAGCCAAGATCGTGCCACTACACTCCAGCCTGGCTAAGAGAGAGACTCTGTCTCAAAAATAAAAACAAAAGAGTTATTGGCCTGGCGTGGTGGCTCACGCCTGAAATCCCAACACTTTGAGAGGCCAAAGCAGGTGGATCGGATCATCTGAGGTCAGGAGTCAGAGACCAGCCTGGCCAACATGGCAAAACCCCATCTCTACTAAAAAAATGCAAAAAATAGCCAGGCGTGGTGGTGCGTGCCTGTAATCCCAGCTACTTGGGAAGCTGAGGCAGGAGAATTCCTTGAACCCGGGAGGTGGAGGTTGCAGGGAGCTGAGATCGTGCCACTGCACTCCAGCTTGGGTGAAAGAGCTAGACTCTGTCTCAAAAAAAAAAGAAAAAGGTTCTTGTAAGGACTCTGTGAGATGGACCACAGGCATGGGTCTCGGCACAATCTGTTTGTTTGTTTGTTTGTTTGTTTGTTTGTTTGTTACGGAGTCTCGCTTTACCCCCCAGGCTGGAGTGCAGTGGTACGATCTCGGCTCTCTGCCACCTCTGCCTCCCGGGTTCAAGTGTTTCTCCTGCCTCAGCCTCCCAAGTAGCTGGGATTACAGACACCCACCACCACGCCCGGCTAATTTTTGTTTTTTTAGTAGAGACAGGGTTTTGCCATGTTTCCCGGGCTGGTCTCCAACTCCTGACCTCAAGTGATCCGCCCACCTCGGCCTCCCAAAGGGCTAGGATTACAGAAGTAAGCCAGTGCACCTGGCCAGCACAATCGTTCTTGCTCCCTAGATGTGAACTGCTGTTTTCACCAGCAGGAGCTAAGGGGCAGGCTGTCTCAGATTAGATGCTTTTTAGAGCACTCTGTAGTTCCTTAAATGGAGCTGCAAATCCACAGGTTGCTGCTCAATGTCTGACTAGCTTCTACTTTATTTCTGACTTTATTTCTCATCTGTCTCCACCACACCCCTCCCTTCCACATACCCTGCATTCCAGCAAAACTGACCAATGCATCACATGCCAGACACACCCTGTGATGTCTACCCCAGGACCCTTGCACAGGCTTCTGCCTCAAGAGAGCTCATGATCCAGTGGACAGGCGTGGGCATTGGAATCTCACAAGCCCAGATCACCTCCCAGTTTCACCTCTTCAATGCTATTGACCTTTGGGGACTGACAAAACCTCTCTGAACTTCAGTTTGCCCAGATATAGCATGGACTGAAAAAATGTGTACCTTCTAGGTACAAGTCATGCCTCACTCAGCAACGGGGATATATCCTGAGAAATGCATCACTAGGCAATTTTGTCATTGTGCAAATACCATAGAGTGTACTTATACAAACCTACATGGTATAGCAACTACACACCCAGGCTGTAGGGTATGACCTCTAGATTTTACATATATATATATATATATATATATATATATATATATATATATATATATATAAATATATATATTTTTTTTTTCCAGATGGAGTTTTGCTCTTTCGCCCAGGCTGCAGTGAAGTGGCACAATCTCAGCTCACTGCAACTGCTGCCCCCAGGTTCAAGTGATTCTCCTGCCTCAGTCTCCCCAGTAGCTGGGATTACAGGCACCTGGCACCTCACCCGGCTAATTTTGTACTTTTAGTAGAGATGGCGTTTCACCACGTTGGCCAGGCTGGTCTCGAACTCCTGATCTCAGGTGATCCACCCGCCTCAGCCTCCCAAATTGCTAGGATTATAGGTGTGAGCCACTGCGCCCAGCCTTAAAATTTATATTTTAACTTAAAATATATTTACAACTAGAGATGGGTCTCACTATGTTGCCCAGGCTAGTCTTGAAGTCCTGGGCTCAAGTGATCCTCTCACCTTGGCCTCCCAAAGTCCTGGGATTATGGATATGAGCCACTGCACCAGGCCAATGATAAGCGTTTGTGTATCTACATGTATTTAAACATAGAGAAAGGACAGTAAAAATACAGTATTACAATCTCTTGGGACCACTGTCATATATGCAGTCTGTCATTGACTGAAATGTTGTTATACAGCACATAATTGTACTGAATGAGGATTAAAGCTAATGGGACATTTAGCCAGGTGCAGTGGCTCACGCCTGTAATCCCAGCACTTGGGAGGCCGAGGTGAGCAGATCACCTGAGGTCAGGAGTTCGAGGCCAGCCTGGACAACATGTTGAAACCCCTGTCTCTACTAAAAATACAAAAATTAGCCGGGCGTTGTGGCAGGCGCCAACTACTCGGGAGGCTGAGGCAGGAGAATCAGTTGAACTCAGGAAGCAGAGGTTGCAGTGAGCAGAGATAGCACCACTGTAATCCAGCCTGGGCAATAGAGTGAGATGCTGTCTCAGAAATAAATAAATAAATAAATAAGTCGGGCGAGGTGGCTTACGCCTGTAATCACAGCACCTTGGGAGGCCAAGGTGGGTGGATCACGAGGTTAGGAGTTCAAGACCCGTCTGGCCAAGATGGTGAAACCCCATCTGTACTAAAAATACAAAAATTAGCCGGACATGGTGGCAGGTGCCTGTAATCCCAGCTACCCAGGAGGCTGAGGCAGAGAATTACTTGAACCCAGTAGGTGGAGGTTGCAGTGAGCCGAGATTGTGCCACTGCACTCCAGCTTTGGCGACAAAGTGAGACTCTGTCTCAAAAAAAAATATATATATATATTTATATATATATATACACACACACATATATACTTACAATACATAATAATATTAATAACATGATATAAATATTAACAACTTAGTATAATGATAGTAAGGATTTACCATGTCAGGCATCTTTCCAAAAACTCTTAATATATTAAATCATAGAATTCTCACAACAACTTTTTTTTTTTTCAAACGGGGTCTCACTCTGTCACCCAGGCTGGAGTACAGTGGTGCGATCTTGGTTCACTGCAACCACTAACTCCTGAGTTCAAGCGATTCTCCTACCTCAGCCCCCTGAGTAGCTGGGACTACAGGAGTGCACTACCATGCCCAGCTAGTTTTTGTGTTTTAAGTAGAGACAGGGTTTCACCATGTTGGCCAGGCTGGTCTCAAACTCCTGATCTCAAGTGATCTGCCCGCCTCGACCTCCCAACGTGCTGAGATTACAGGCACCTGGCACCGTGCCCAGCTCGTTTTTGCATTTTTAGTAGCGATGGGGTTTCACCATATTGGCCAGGCTGGTCTCGAACTCCTGACCTCAAGTGATCTACCTGCCTTGGCCTCCCAAAGTGCTGGGATTACAGGCATTATCTACTGCACCAGGCCCTCACAACAACATTTTGATAGTACTATTATTAAGCTCATTTCACAGATGAGGAACCTGAGAGAGGTAAGGAGAAGTACAATAATCTGCCTAAGGTCGTCGTGGAGCTACTAATTGGCTAAGCAGCTCCTGGAAGTCTCGCTAGAGAGTGTCACTGTTTAATGGACCGTTGGACATTTCCTAAGCCTTGGGTGTGTTTTACATCATTCACTAGCCATGCACAGCTAGTGAGCTCTTGCAATGCAGCTACTGGGGCTACCACAGTTGTAGCCATAATGCTATGTACTATGGGTGAGGAACTTAATTTTTTTTTTTTAATTTGTATTAGCCAAGCATGGTGATGTGCACCTGTAGTTCCAGCTACTCGGGAGGCTGAGATGGGAAGATCGCTTGAGCCTAGGAGGTGGAGGCTGCAGTGAGCTGTATTTGTGCCATTGCACTCCAGCCCGGGTGACACAATGAGATCCCATCTCAAAACAAAAACCAGGTCATAGGTAGATAAAGAGACAAAAGGTTGCCTTCTTTTGAGTTTCTGATGAGCCTCTCCAAAGGAGCCAATCAGATATGAATGTATCTAAGTGAGCACAGGAGGGACTCTGAATAGAATGAGAGGCAGGTTGGCCCTGAGCAGTTCCCAGCTTGACTTTTCGCTCTAGCTTAATGATTTTGAGAGGTGAAGCCCGCTGGGCTTCTGGGTCAGGTGGGGACTTGGAGAACTTTTCTATTTAGCTAAAGGATTGTAAACGCACCAATCAGCATTCTGTGTCTAGCTAAAGGTTTGTAAATGCACCAATCAGGACTCTGTAAAAACACACCAATCAGCGCTCTGTGTCTAGCTAAAGGTTTGTAAACGCACCAATCAGCCCTCTGTAAAAACATACCTATCCGCGCTCTGTAAAAACGGACCAATCAGCCCTCTGTAAAATGGACCAATCAGCGATCTGTAAAATGGACCAATCAGCAGGAAGTGGTTGGGGCCAAATAAGGTAATAAAAGCTGGCCATCTGAACCAGCAGTGCCAACCTGCTCATGTCCCCTTCCACATTGTGGAAGTTTTGTTCTTTTGTTCTTCATAATAAATCTTCCTGCTGCTCACTCTTTGAGCCCACACTACTTTTATGAGCTGTTAACACTCACTGTGAAGGTCTACAGCTTCACTCCTGAAGTCAGCCAGACCAGGAACCCACTGGAAGGAAGAAACTCCGGACACATCTGAACATCTGAAGGAACGAACTCGGGACACACCATCTTTAAGAACTGTAACACTCACTGCAACGGTCTGCGGTTTCATTCTTGAAGTCAGCAAGACCAAGAACCCACCGGAAGGAACCAATTCCGGACACAATCTGGGGACCCCGAAATTTACTTTCCCTTCACAGTCCCCTCCCTCTTCCTTCTTTCTCCTCCTCACTTCCTTTGTCTCTCTCCCCTTTCTCCTCACTCTTCCCTCATCTGATTCTCTCTCCATCTGTCTCCTTTTTTGTTGTTGTGGTGGTGGTTGTTGAGTTGGAGTCTCACTCTGTTGCCCAGTCTGGAGGCTAATGGCATGACCTTGGCTCACTGCAACGGCTGCCTCCCGAGTTCAAGCAATTCTTCTGCCTCAGCTTCTCAAGTAGCTGCGATTATAGGCACGCACCTGGATAATTTTTGTTTTGTTCTTTTTTTTGATGGAGATGGGGTTTCACTGTTTTCCAAGCTGGTATCGAACTCCTGGGTGCAAGTGATCCTCCCGCCTCCGCCTCCCAAAGTGCTGGGATTACAGGTGTGAGCCACTGCCCCCAGTTCCTTCTCTCTCTTCTGTCTGCCGCTTCTCATCCCTTCCACCCAACCAGGGCGGGAGAGGGAGGGGGATGAAACCAGGACGGGGAGGTGGGAGAGGGATGAAACCAGGGCGGGGAGGTGGGAGAGGGATGAAACCAGGGCGGGGAAGTGGGAGAGGGATTACAAACTCCCTCTATTTACTCTCAAGCTTCTCTGTTTCCACCTCCACTAACCCTGGAACCCTGAGGCGCCCCAGGCCTGCAGTGTATAAATGCCTTCCTGGCAGGCCTTGCTGAGACTTGAGCTCAGCAGTCCTCACCCTCCTTAATCCTAACCAAACAGGATCTGTCACTAGGCTCAGCGTGCAGAGGACGCCTCGGGTCCTTTTCCTCCTGCGAAACCACAGAGGCAGCCCTAGGGGCAAACAATAAAACAGTGTGGAGGGCTGGGGGATGAGGGTGGGAGCATGCCTGGCAGGGAACGTTTCTTTTTTTTTCCTCCTTCAAAAATTGGAGGGGAGGCCTGGCGCGGTGGCTCACGCCTGTAATCCCAGCACTTTGGGAGGCCGAGGCGGGCGGATCATCTGAAGTCAGGAGTTGGAGATCAACCAGACCAATATGGTGAAACCCCATCTATACTAAAAATACAAAAATTAGCCAGGTGTGGTGGTGGGAGGCTGTAGTCCGAGCTACTCAGGAGGCTGAAACAGAAGAATTGCTTGAACCCGAGAGTTAGGTGGCAGTGAGCCGAGATCGTGCCATTGCCCTCCAGCCTGGGTGACAGAGTGAGTCTCAAACAAACAAACAAGCAAAAAAAAAAAAAAAAAACAAGGAAGGGGATCAAAACTGTCAGTTGGGACAAATACAGGCTTTACTATGGTAATTCTCTGGCTTTGAGCCAAGGACTGCACCCTCCCCAGGGGGCAGCGCTGAGAGCTAAGTCACCCAGGATGGTTTAAAATTAAACTCAATTTTCAACATTGTAACTCCTCACAGACAAACACAACTGTGTTTACTAATAGCATTTCTCGGTTTTATCTGACTTTTGAGTTCTGAAGTCGGGAGATGTGGAGGCTGGAAGTATAAACTGAGACGAAGTGGGCAGAACAGCTCCCTCCCGGCTTCCCCATCCCCAGCCAGCCTCTCTGATTTTCTTTTTCTTTCTCTTTTTCTTTTTTTTTTTTGAGATGGAGGCTTGCTCTGTCACCCAGGCTGGAGTGTAGTGGCCCGATCTCAGCTCACTGCGACCTCTGCCTCCCAGACTCAAGTGATTCTTCTGCCTCAGCCTCCCAGGTAGCTGGGATTACGGGCACGCGCCATGATGCCAGGCTATTTTTTTATTTTTATTTATTTATTTTTTAAAGTAGCGATGGCGTTTCACCATGATGGCCAGGCTGGTCTCGAACTACTGACCTCAGGTGGTCCGCCCACCTCGGTCTCCCAAAATGCTGGGATTACAGGCATGAGCTCCTGCACCTGGCCCAGCCTCTCTGGTTTTGATCTAAGTCATGCCCAAAGCTTGGAAGCGGCTTTACACTACCTTTCTTTGCTCAAAAATTTGCCATCCATCTATCTGTCTGTCCATGCAATAAATATCTAGTGATCTAATAGAGGCTGAATTCTGTGCTAAAAGCTAAGGATTATGGTATTATTTATTTATTTATTTATTTATTTATTTATTTTGAGACGGAGTCTCTCTCTGTCACCCAGACCGGAGTGCAATGGCGTGATGTCGGCTCACTGCAACCTCCACCTCCCGGGTTCAAGCAATTCTTCTGCCTCGGCCTCCCGAGTAGCTGGGATTACAGGCGTGCCCCACCATGCCCAACTAATTTTTGTATTTTTAGTACAGATGGGGTTTCACCATGTTGGCCAGGCTGGTCTCGAACTCCTGACCTCGTGATCCACCTGCCTCAGCCTCCCAAAGTGCTGTGATTACAGGTGTGAGCCATCGCGCCCGGCCCTATTATTACTATTACTACTATAACAATAAAAACAGCAATTTATTTATTTATTTATTGCAAGACAGAGTCTTACACTGTTGCCCAGGCTGGAGTGCAGTGGCAGATCACGGCTCACTGCAGCCGCAACCTCCCAGGCTGAAGCTATCTTTCTGCCTCAGCCTCCTGAGTAGCTGAGACCACAGGTGTGTGCCACTATGCCTAGCTAGTTCTTTAATTTTTGTAGAGATGGGGTCTAGCTATGTTGCCAGGGCTAGTTTTGATTTTTTTTTCTTGTAGAGGTAGGGTCTTGCTGCATTGCCCAGGCTGGCCTCGAGCTCCTGGGCTCAAGCGATTCTCTCGCCTCAGGCTCTCAAAGTGCTGGGACTTTGGCTGGGATTACAGGCGTGCACCATCATGCCTGGCTAATTTTTGTATTTTTTGATAGAGACATGATTTCACTGTGTTTTCCCGGCTGGTCTCGAACTCCTGGCCTCAAGTGATCCTCCTGCCTCGGCTTCCCAAAGTGGTGGGATTACAGGCATGAGCCACTATGCCCAGCTCCATCTCTCTCTTCTATCTGCTGCTACTTCTAGAATACGTAGTGGGCGCAGAATAGGGACTATTTAAGTGTTTGCTGGCCAGACATGGTATCCCATGCCTGTAATCCCAGTACTTTGGGAGACACATAGCCCCTATTCTGTACCCACTACGTATTCTAGGAGTTGTTTATTTAGTCCTTCTAGAAACATTTCAAACCTGATGTGGTGGCTCACGCCTGTAACCCCAACACTTTGAGAGGCTGAGGCAGGAGAATCGCTTGAACCCAAGAGTTTGAGGCCAGGCTGAGCAATGTAGCAAGACCCTATCTCTGCAAGAAAAAAAAAATCAAAAAATTAGTCAGGCATAGTGATGCACCTCTATGGTTCCAGCTACTTGGGTGGCTGAGGTGAGAGCATTGCTTGAACCCAGGAGGTTGAGGCTTCAGTGAGCTGAGATCACCTTGCCACTGCATTCCAGCCTGGGTGACACAGCAAGACCCTGCCTCAGAAATAAATAAATAAATAAATAAATAAATAAATAAATAAATAAATAAAAACCCTTCTACATCTCCCATTTTATAGAGGAGGATACAGAGGTTCAGAGAGGCCCCCAAGTCGTATGGCTGAGCTGGGATTTGAACCCACAATGATGGGTGCTCTTCACCACCTTGCAGCTTGCCACTCTCATGAAAAACATACAGTCTGGTGCGGCACACATGATAACTACACAAACAAGGTAATTCAGATATTTAAATGCTCTAAAGATTCTACATCAGGTTATTTCCAGTATTATTTTCCTGGTCATCCCTGGAAGGATGAGAAGGAACCAACCTTCAGAAGAGCTGCAGAGAGAACACCCAGACAGAGTAAAAAGCAAGTGCAAAGGCCCTGTGGTCCAAACCACTTAAAAAGATTTGGAAGCAGCAGAGGTCAGAGTAGCAGGAAGGAAGAGACAAGAGGCAACAGAGCAGGATATGATGATTTCAGGCCACAGGGGGAGTTTGGGTTTCGTTGTTTCTTTTTTGAGATAGGTTCTGGCTCTGTTTCCCGGGCTGGAGTGCAGTGGTGCAGTTTCAGCTCACTGCCTATCTTCACCTCCCGGGTCAAGCCATCCTCCCGCCTCAGCCTCTCAAGTAGCTGGGATTACAGGCATGTGCCATCACGCCTGGCTAATTTTTTTTTTTTTTTTGAGACAGAGTTTTGCTCTTGTTGCCCAGGCTGGAGTGCAACGATGCGATCTCGGCTCACTGCAACCTCCGTCTCTCAGGTTCAAGCGATTCTCCTGCCTCAGCCTCCTGAGTAGCTGGGATTACAGGCATGTGCCACCATGCCCAGCTAATTTTGTATTTTTAGTAGAGACGGGGTTTCTCCTTGTTGGTCAGGCTGGTCTTGAACTCTCGACCTCAGGTGGTCCACCCGCCTCAGCCTCCCAAAGTGCTGGGATTACAGGTGTGAACCACCGTGCCAGGCTTTAATTTTTTTTTTTTTTGGAGATGGAGTTTTGCTCTTGTTGTCCATGCTGGAGTGCAATGGCGTGATCTCGGCTCACTGCAACCTCCGCCTCCCGGGTTCAAGCGATTCTCTTGCCTCCGCTTCCCGAGTAGCTGGGATTACAGGCGCCTGCCACCATGCCTGGCTAATTTTTTGTATTTTTAGTAGAGACGGGGTTTCACCATGTTGGCCAGGCTGGTCTCGAACTCCTGACCTCAGGTGATCCGCCCGCCTCGGCCTCCCAAAGTGCTGGGATTACAGGCATGAGCCACCGTGCCCAGCCGTTAATATTTGTATTGTTTGTAGGGGCATGGTCTTGCTATGTTGCCTAGGCTGGTTTGGGTTTTATCCCCAGTAGGACAGGATTCTAGGAGCACAGCAGGGATGGGGTGGCCATTTTACAAGCACTCCAGGGGTGGGGTTGGTAAAAGCGTCACGTCCCAGCTGTCCTCCCTCTAGGATGTTTATCACCCCTGTCCTGCAAGATCTAATTCTATGATGTCTTTGCTGCCCCTGAATGACAACAACAAGGCAGATTACCCCAACTCTTTCCCCTCTGCTGTATATTTAAGCACCTCCCCTTTGACTTTATATCCTGGACTAGTCTGTGTAAAGACAAAGAAAAACGAGAAACAAGAGGCTTAATTCTTCCTGTATTCTGGTTTCGGGGAAGGGTCAAAATATAACTTCAGTGGATGCCTTGCTCCAAATTGCAAAACTCCCTCCTGTCATGATGAAAGATGTGTTTTTCCCCTGGATAAAGCCAATTAGCTCACACCGTCGTCACAATGACTAGGTGGCTCCAGGATGAACTATGCGTTTGATAAACGGTGCTGTCAAGTTCTGTTACTGGAGAACTAATGATTATTTATCATGAGGCATGAAGGTGACAGGTTTATCTGCTTGGCTATAGAAAAAGGGTGAGATGTAGGCTGGACACGATGGCTCATGTCTGTAATCCCAGCACTTTGGGAGGCCGAGGTGGGCAGATCACAAGGTCAGGAGCTCGAGACCATCCTGGCAACACGTTGAAACCCCGTCTCTACTAAATATACAAAAAATTAGCCGGGTGAGATGGTGGGCGCCTGTAGTCCCAGCTACTCGGGAGGCTGAGGCAGGAGAATGGTGTGAACCTGGGAGGCGGAGGTTGCAGTGAGCCGAGATTGCGTCACTGCACTCCAGCCTGGGCGACAGAGCAAGACTCTGTCTCAAAAAAAAAAAAAGAAAAAGAAAGAGGGTGAGAGGCAGGCTGGACACGGTGGCTCATATCTGTAATCCCAGCACTTAGGGAGGATGAGGCAGGCGGATCACTTGAGGCTAGGAGTCTGAGACCAGCCATGGTAAGACCCCATTTCTACTAAAAATACAAAAATGAGGGCTGGGCATGGTGGCTCAAATGCCTGTAATCCCAGCATATTGGAAGGCCAAGGTGGGTGGATCGCTTGAGTTCAGGAGTTTGAGATCAGCCTGGCCAACATGGCAAAACCCCGTCTCTACTAAAAATAAAAAAATTAGCCAGACATGGTGGCGGGCGCCTGTAATCCCAAAAAAAATTAGCCAGACATGGTGGCGGGCGCCTGTAATCCCAGCTACTCCGGAGGCTGAGGTGGAAGGATCATTTGAACCGGGGAGGGGAAGGTTGCAGTGAGCCAAGTTCACACCACTACAATCCAGCCTGGGCGACAAAGCGAGACTCCGTCTCAAAAACAAAACAAGGCCGGGTGCAGTGGCGCATGCCTGTAATCCCAGCACTTTGGGAGGCTGAGATGGGTGGATCACAAGGTCAGGAGATCGAGACCATCCTGGCTAACACGGTGAAACCCCATCTCTACTAAAAATACAAAAAAATTAGCCGGGCGTGGTGGTGGGCGCCTGTAGTCCCAGCTACTCGGGAGGCTGAGGCCTGAGAATGGCATGAACCCGGGAGGCAGAACTTGCAGTGAGCCGAGATTGTGCCACTGCACTCCAGCCTGGGCGACTGAGCAAGACTCTCTCAAAAACAAAACAAAACATTAGCTGGGTATGGTGTCTCTTGCCTGTAATCCTAGCTACTCAAGAGGCTGAGGCAGGAGAATCGCTTGAGCCCAGGAGGCGGACCTTACAGTGAGCTGAGATCACTGAACTGCACTCCAGTTTGGGCGACAGAGCGAGACTCTGTCTCAAAAAAATAAATAAATAAAATAAATGAAAAAGGGCAAGATTTCTTTCTGCCTTTGCAATGTCCTAGGCCTTATCTACGACGTGCACCACACTCTGGATGAATGCTTATTCAGTGATAACATTAAGGGGTATTTTTTTCCTTTCCCTTCTACTTTTGTGGAGAGGTTTCCTGAGTTGAGAGAAGATTCTTGCATTTAGTTGTATTTCCACAACATCAGCACGTCCTACATTTTTTAAATCTGCCCAGCCAGCCTGAATTTCAGGAAGCCAGAGAGGCCCTAGTTGGTTGCTCTTATTTATTTACTTAGAGACACAGTCTCACTCTGTTGCCCCAAGCTGGAGTGCAGTGATGGAAATCTCCGCTCACTCCAACCTCTGCCTCGTGGATTCAAGTGATTCTCGTGCTTCAGCCTCCCGAGGAGCTCGGATTACAGGCACTGACCACCACACCCAGCTAATTTTTTTGTATTTTTAGTAGAGATAGGGTTTCGCCATGTTGGCCAGGCTGGTCTCGAACTCCCAACCTGAGTTGATCTGCCCGCCTCGGCCTCCCAAAGCGCTGGGATTACAGGTGTGAGCCACGGCGCCTGGCCTGTTGCTATAATTTTAGAGAAACACAGTGGGCTCTATCATTAGTCCTGGGTTCAAATCCTGTGTGGTCCTGGATAGGCCACTCAAATTCTGCCTGTTTCCTCTCTAGTAAATTAGGGTTACGTCTGACAGCATCTATTTTGGAGAGTCATTGCTAGGACTAATGGTGACAAAGAGCTTAATACAGATCCTAGCCCAGATCAAACAATTTTAGTTAATAGTAATAACCACCTTGCTTTTAGGATAGCTGAGACTCACTGGGCCAGCACCATGCCAAGCTCCTATCTTAGTAACAATGAAATGAGGCCTACCTTTACAATAAAAGCTAACATATCCTGTTGGCCATGTGGCAGGCACTGGGCTAATTCCTTTTTAGTTTTTTAAATTTTTTAGAGACAGGATCTGGCTCTGTCACCCAGGCTGGAGTGCAGTGGCATGATCTCAGCTCACTGCAACCTCTGCTTCCTGGGCTCAAGTCACCCTCCCACCGCAGCCTCCTGAGTAGCTGGGACTACAAGGGTGCACCACCACACCTGGCTAATTTTTGTATTTTTTGTAGAGACAGGGTTTCGCCATGTTGGCCAGGCTAGTCTTGAACTCTTGAGCTAAAGTGATCCGCCTGCCTTGGCCTCCCAAAGTGTGGAATTACAGGCGTGAGTCACCGTGCCTGGCTGTCTGCCTTTACTTTCTTTCTGTCCTTTTTTTTTTTTTTTTTTTTTTTGCTTTGAGACAGAGTCTCAATCTGTTGCCCAAGCTGGAGTGCAGCCGAACAATCATACCTCACTGTAGCCTCAACCTCCTGGACCCAAATGATCCTCCGACCTCAGCCTCCTGAGTAGCTGGGACTACAGGCACGTAACATCATGCCTGGCTAATTTTTATTTTATTTTTAGTAGAGAAGGTTTTGCTGTATTGCCCAGGCTGTTCTCAAACTACTGAGCTCAAGTGATCCTCCCATCTTGGCCTCCCAAAATGTTGGGACTGCAGGCCTGGCTAATTAAAAAAAAATTTTTTTGCAGAGATGGGGGTCTCACAATGTTGCCCAGGCTCGTCCTGAACTCCTGGGCTCAAGCAATTCTCCCACCTCGGCATCCCAAAGTACTGGGATTACAGGCAAGAGCCACTGCGCCTGGCCTCTCTTTGCATTTTTCTTTTCTTTTCTTCCTTTCTTTCCTCTCCCTCTCTCTCTCTCTCTCTCTCCCTTCTCTTTTTTGAGATCAAGTCTCACTCTGTTGCCCAGGCTGGAGTGCAGTGGCGTGATCTTGGCTCATTGCAACCTCCACCTCCCAGGTTCAAGCGATTATTGTGCCTCAGCAACCCAAGTAGCTGGGACTATAGGCGTGAGCCACCACACCTGGCTAATTTTTTTTTTTGTATTTTTAATACAGATGAGGTTTCACCATGTTGGCCAGGCTGGTCTCGAACTCCTGACCTCAGGTGATCTGCCCATCTCGGCCTCCCAAAGTGCCGGGATTACAGGCATAAGCCACCTAGCCCGGCCTGCATTTTTCAAGACTACAATAAACTGTCATTAACTATCGTCACCCTGCTATACAATAGATGTCTTGAATTTTTTCCTCCCATCTAACTGTAATTATGTATCTTTTTACCACCTCTCCTCATCCATCTTCCTCAACACCCTTCCCAGCCTCTGGTAACCACCATGGTAACCTGCAGACACCTTCATCTCCAACTTCCGGCCTGCAGAACGGAGAGATGATACATTTCTGTTGTTGAGGCCTCCAGTCTATGGTACTTGGTTATATCAGCCTCAGAAAACTAATGCAACCTCCAAATCCCTCATCGCTCCCTCTGAGTGTCTTGTCTACTTTTTCTCCAGTGTCCTGTAAGTCCTCAAAGCCTGCAGGGGCACATAGCAGGGGCTCAATGTACAAATGCCCATTCACTGACTACATGATCCTCCCAGGAGAGGTAGGAGAAACATGAGCCAGTTAAAGAAGAGAGACTGGGGTCGGGTGCGATGGCTCATGCCTGTAATCCCAGCACTTTGGGAAGATGAAGCAGGAGGATTGCTTGAGTCCAGGAGTTCAGGACCAGCTTGGGCAACATAGGGAGACCCTTTTTCTCTACTTTTATTTATTTTTATTTTTTATTTTTTTGGAGACGAAGTCTTGCTCCTGTCCCCCAGGCTGGGGTGCGATGGCATGATCTCGGCTCAATGCAACCTCCGCCTCCTGGGTTCAAGCGATTCTCTTGCCTCTGCTTCCTGAGTAGCTGGGATTACAGGCGCCTGCCACCACACCCAGCTAATTTTTGTATTTTTAGAGACGGGGTTTCACCATGTTGGCCAGGCTGGTCTCGAACTCCTGACCTCAGGTGATCCGCCCACCTCAGCCTTCCAAAGTGCTGGGATTACAGGCATGAGCCACCGCGCCCAGCCTCCTTTCTCTATTTTTATAAAAATTCTTGGGCTGGGCGCAGTGGCTCATGCCTGTAATCCCAGCATTTTGGGAGGCTGAGGTGGGCAGATCATGAGATCAGGAGATCAAGACCATCCTGGCTAACATGGTGAAACCCCGTCTCTACTAAAAAATACAAAAACAAATTAGCCGGGCATGACGGCGGGCGCCTGTAGTCCCAGCTACTTGGGAGGCTGAGGCAGGAGAATGGCGTGAACCCGGGAGGCAGAGCTTGCAGTGAGCCGAGTTCGAGCCACTGCACTCCACTCTGTCTCAAAAACAACCACCACCACCAAAAAAAAAAAAAAAAAAAATTCTTGGCCAGGTGTGGTGGCTTACGCCTGTAATCCCAACACTTTGGCAGGCTGAGGCAGGCGGATCACCTGAGATCAGGAGTTTGAAACCAGCCTGACCAACATAGTGAAAACCCATCTCTACTAAAAATACAAAATTAGCTGGGCGTGGTGGCACACGCCTGTAATCCCAGCTACTAGGGAAGCTGAGGCAGGAGAATTGCTTGAATCAGGAAGGCGGAGGTTACAGTGAGCCGAGATGGCACCATTGCACTCCCGCCTGGGCAACAAGAGCAAAACTCCGTCTCGAAAAAAAATAAATAAAATAAATAAAATAAAATAAGAATTATTAAAAAAAAAAAAGAGAGAGAGAGAAAGAGAGAAGAGATTGGGAACTGGCCCCACGTCTCCTGCTACAGGACCTTGGGAAAATCCTGAACCCTTTGAACCTCAGTTTGCTCCTCCATAAAACGGGGCCATCAGACCATCAGCCAATATCTCTAAGCTCCCCGTGGGATTGTGAATCCTACATGTCCCCCACCCCAGGCTTGCATGAAAAATAAGGTTTCTCTTGGGTGCCACACAGAGAGGATCCCTTCTGTGTCCCTCAAGCCATCTGTGACCGTCCCACTTCATAAAAGCAAAGGTCACTTGCTCATTGAAACTTCCTCTGTGCCAGGCAAGAGCTGCATCGCCCCAACAGGCCCCTCAAGCAAGATGCTATTATCATTATCATGATGCCCTTTTTGCAGATGGGGAAAAGTGAGGCTCAGAAAGACCAAGTCCGCAGGCCCCATCTCTACTGAAAATACAAAAACATTAGCGCCCGTAATCCCAGCTACTCCGGAGGCTGAGGCAGGAGAATTGCTGAGATCGCGCCATTGCACTCCAGCCTGGGCGACAAGACCAAAACTCTGTCTCAAAAAAAAAAAGAAAAAGAAAGTAAAGGGGGAGAAGGAAAGGAAGAGGGTGGTTGGGAACACAGAAGAGGTGACAATTGGGTAGGGACTCAAGCTGGAAAGGGGGACAAAGTGGAAGCTGGGTGCAGTGGCTCATGCCTGTAATCCCAGCACTTTGGGAGGCCAAGGCGGGAGGATCACTTGTGCCTGGGAGTTCTAGACCAACCTGGCCAACACAGGGAGACCTCGTCTCTGCAAAATATTTAAAAACAATTAGCTGAGCTAGGTGGCACACATCTGTGGTCCCAGCTACTTGGGAGGCTGAATTGGGAGAAGCACTTGAGTTTGGAGGTCTAGGCTGCTGTGAGCCGTGATCATGCCACCATACTCCAGCCTGGGCAACAGAGCAAGATCCTGTCAAAAAAAGGAAGGAAGGAGTGGGGTTGACATGCAAGGCCATTTGAGGATGGGCTGGGACATTGTGGACTCATTTCCCTCCTCCCCAGAGGACCAGAAGGAGCAAGAGATCCCCTTACCTGTGGGCAGCAGGTATCTCAGCATTAGTAACACCAGGGCCCACCGCCGGCCTCCAGGGGCACCCTGCCACAGGCCAGCCATTCACGGCTTCAGGAAGACTTGGGGGCTGCTCTTTGCCCTCGTTCCAGCCCCCCAGCCAAGCCCAGAGACATGTCCAGCAGCTCCAGGCGGCCAGGTGCCTAAGATCTGGCGGGTATCAAATGTGCCCAGTCAGCCTAATCCCTGCGAGGCTGGGCGGGGCTGGGAAGGATCCCCTCGCCTATTCCCAGGCCCTGATTGGCTCCCTGGGCCCTTGGTTCTGCCTGTCTGGGCTCCCAGGAAGACAGGGCTCCATGGGCATTGAGGGGAGCGGGAGTTTCAGCTGCCAGGCTCAGCTGCGGGTGTCAGGAAAAGTCTCCCTAGAATGTTCCCCAGACCCAGAGCTGCACTGCGACTTTCATGGGCCACAATCACTTTTGCAATTTACCCATTACTTTTTTTTTTTTTTTTGAAAGGAAGTCCTATTGTGTTGCCCAGGCTGGAATGCAGTGGTGCCATCTTGTCTCACAGCAAACTCCGCCTCCCGGTTCAAGCGATTCTTGTACCTCAGCCTCCCGAGTAGCTAGGACTACAGGCACACACCACCATGCCCAGCTAATTTTTGTATTTTTTAGTAGAGACAGGGTTTCACCATGTTGGTCAGGCTGGTCTCGAACTCCCTATCTCAAGTGATCCGCCAGCCTTGGCCTCACAAAGTGCTGAGATTACAGGCGTGAGCCACAGCGCCCAGCCTATACTTACATTCCTCCCTCCCCAGCTTTATTGAAGGATGATTGGCAAATAAAACATTAAATATCTTATAATTTGTAATAATTTTTGAGCAAAGAGGCTCCCATTTTCACTTTGCACTGGACCCTGCAAATCACGCCTCTGGTCCTGCTGCAAGCGGTAGTCTCTGCTATTCCACAGCAGCCTCATGTTCTCTCTCTGTGACGCTCTGAATTGTATCCCCCTCAAATTCACAAGTTGAAGCCTTTACTTCCGATGTGACTGCATTCAGCAACAGTTTTCAGGCTGGGCGCAGTGGCTCATGCCTGTAATCCCAGCACTTTGGGAGGCCGAGGAGGGTGGATCACCTGAGGTCGGGAGTTCGAGACCAACCTGACCAACATGGAGAAACCCCATCTCTACTAAAAATACAAAAATCAGCTGGGTGTGGTGGTGGGCACCTGTAATCCCAGCTACTCAGGAGGATTCAAGCGATTCTTCTGCCTCAGCCTCCCAAGTAGCTGGGATTACAGGTGCACGCCACTACACCTGGGTAATTTTTTTTTTTTTTAGATGGAGTCTTGCTCTGTCGCCAGGCTGGAGTGCACTGGTGCGATAGCTCACTGCAACCTCCACCTCCCAGGCTCAAGTGATCCTCCCACCTCAGTCTCCCGAGTAGCTGGGTTACAGGTGTGCACCACCACATCTGGCTAATTTTTGTATTTTTAGTAGAGACAGGGTTTCACCATGTTGCCCAGTCTGGTCTCGAACTCCTGAGCTCAAGCAATCCTCCCGACTCTACTTCCCAATGTGCTGGGATTATAGGCATGAGCCACTGCACTTGGTCATCTAAGTCTTATTGCTTATCTCCAGCACCTATCAACTTAGAATATGCTTGCTAAATGAATAAATATGTGAATTAAAGAATAAGTGGGCTGGGCATGGTGGCTCACACTTGTAATCCCAGCACTTTGGGAGGCTGGGTCAGGTGGATCATGAGGTCAGGAGTTCAAGACCAGCCTGACCAACATGGTGAAACCCTGTCTGTACTAAAAATACAAAAAATTAGCTGGGCGTGGTAGTGGGCACCTGTAATCCCAGCTACTTGGGAGGCTGTGGCAGAGAATTGCCTGCATCAGGGAGGTGGAGGTTGCAGTGAGCCGAGATCGTGCCACTGCATTCCAGCCTGGGAGACAGAGTGAGTCCGTCTCAAAAAAAAAAAAAAAATGAAAATAGAGTTGGCTTTGAGTGGAGAGAAATCAAGGAGGACCACCCAGAGGAGGTATTCAAAACCTTCCAGTTAAAATTTGCCCACCAGCTTTGCCATATAATGTGGAATCAGAGAGTGTGATGTCTCCAGCTTTGTTCATTTTGCTTGAGATGGCTTTGGCTATTTGGGGTCTCTATCAATGGATAAATGGATAAAGAAAATGTGTGTATATATATACACACACACACACACACACACACACACACACACACACACGATGAATACTATACAGCCTTAAAGAAGAAGGAAATACTGTCATTTTTGACCACACGGACGAACCTGGGGGACATTGTGCGAAGTGAAATAAGCCAGGCACAGTGAGACAAATACTGTGCGATTTCGCTTAACTGTGGTATCTGAAAAGATCAAATTGGTCGGGCGAGGTGGCTCACGCCTGTAATCCCAGCACTTCGCGAGGCCAAGGCGGGAGGATCACTTGAGGTCGGGAGTTTGAGACCAGCCTGGCCAACATGGCGAAACCCCGTCTCTATGAAAATTACAAAAAAAAAAAATTAGCTGGGTGTGTTATCGTACCTGTGATCCCAGTTACTTGGGAGGCTGAGGCATGAGAATTGCTTGAACTGGGAGACAGAGGTTGCAGTGAGCCATGATCACGCCACTGCACTCCAGCCTGGTGAGAGAGCAAGACTACATCTCAAAAATAAATAAGTAAAATAAAAAGGTTAAACTCATGGAATTAGAGAGTAGAATGATGGTTACCAGGGCTGGGGAAGTGGGAAGACTGAAGAGAGTTAGTTGGTCAAAGGACACATGTTTTAGTTAGCAGGAATAAGTTCTAGTGATCTATTGTAACTATAGGTCAAAATAATGTATTACATATTTCTTTTTTTTTTTTTTGAGACAGAGTCTCGCTCTGTCACCCAGGCTGAAGTGCAGTGGCCCGATCACAGTTCACTGAAACCTCCGCCTCGCAGGTTCAAGCGATTCTCCCGCCTCAGCCTGCTGAGTAGCTGGGATTACAGGTACACGCCACTACACCCAGCTAATTTTTGGATTTTTAGTAGAGACGGGGGTTTCACCATGTTGGTCAGGCTGGTCTTGAACTCCTGACCTCAGGTGATCCACCTGCCTCGGCCTCCCAAAGTGCTGGGATTACAGGTATGAGCCACCATGCCCGGCCCACATATTTGAAAATTGCTAAAAAGAGTTTATTTTACATAGCGACGTCGCTATTAAGAAAAAAAAAAGTTTATTTTAAATGCTCTTACCACACACACACACACACACACACACACACACACACACACACACGATAAGTAGGTGAGTTGATGGCTATGTTAATTAGCTTCTTAAATAATTCCACAAGATATACATACAAATATCAAAATATCAGATTGTACCCCATAAATAGATACAATTATTATTTGTCATTAAACTTTTTAAATAAAGAAAATTTAAAAATAAACAATTGTCCACCAGGTTCCTCTTTCTTTTTCTTTTCTTTTCCATTTTTTTTTTTTTTTTTTTTTTTTGAGACAGGGTCTCACTCTGTTCCTCAGGCTGGAGTGCAGTGGTGCAATCATAGCTCTCTGCAGCCTCAAACTCTTGGGCCCAAGCAATCCACCTGCCTCAGTCTCCTGAGTAACTGGGACTACAGGCATGTACCACCGTGCCCAGCTGATTTATACTTTTTTGTTTTGTAGAGACTGGGTCTGGATATGTTGCCCAGGGTTTTTGTTTTTTTTTATGTGGGGGTGGGTGGGTGGGGGGTGAGGACCGAGCCTTGCTCTGACACCCAGGTTTGAGTATAGTGGTGTGATCTTGGCTCACTGCAACCTCCGCCTCCCGGGTTCAAGTAATTTTCATGCCTAGCCTCCCAAGTAGCTGGGACTACAGGTGCTCGCCACCACACCTGGCTAATTTTTTTTTTTGTATTTCTAATAGAGACAAGGTTTCACCATGTTGGCCAGGCTGGTCTCAAACTCCTGAGTTCAGGTGATCTGCCTGCCTTAGCCTCCCAGAGTATTGGGATTACAGGTGTGAGTTCGGCTCCAGGCTGGATCTTGAATTCCTGGGCTCAAGCCATCCTTCTGCCTCAGCCTCCCAGAATGCTGGGATTACAAAGCTTGAGACAGCACCTTGGCCACCAGGCTCCTCTTTTCTTTTTTCTTTTTTTTTTTTTTTGAGACGGAGTCTCGCTGTGTCACCCAGGCTAGAGTGCAGTGGTGCGATCTCGGCTCACCGCAACCTCTGTCTCCTGGGTTCAAGCGATTCTCCTGCCTCAGCCACCTGAGTAGCTGGGACTATAGCCGCACACCACCAAGCCTGGCTAATTTTTGTATTGTTAGTAGAGACGGGGTTTCACCATGTTGGGCAGGCTGGTCTTGAACTCCTGACCTCGTGGTCTGCCCACCTTGGCCTCTCAAAGTGCTGGGATTACAGATGTGAGGCACTGCTCCTGGCCAGGTTCCTCTTTTCAAAGGCAGCTCCCGGGGGCACGGCTGACTTGTGTCTGGTAACTTTTTTTTTTTTTAAGGAAAACCATCTAGTTTTTTGGGAAAACCAGACTCAGAGCTCAGAGGATCTGAGCAGAGATTTAGGCTCCTGGGTCCTCCAGCTCCTTGAACCCACGGGGAATCCAGCAGCGGTTGCTCCCTTCCCCCCTAAGGAATGCAGGAACCCTGCCCAGAAGTGGCATTAGTAACTGAGCTCTCCCTTTGTCCCTAAGCTGCCATTCCATTGTCTTCCCCCAGTGATCACGGAAAAGGTCCTGGAGGGTGGAGGAGAGGTGCTCAGAATGGAGGAGGAGGAGGGGTGTTGGGACTGCTCAGCTCCTGCTGAAGTAAACACCTGCTCTGTGTTCCATAAGCTGGGACCCCAGGGTCAGGCCAAAGGGAAATGGATACCCCGGGTTTGGGTGGTCGCCACAAATTCTAATGCATGTACTACCTACATCATAGCCGCCCCCCCACCAAATAAGCCCAGTGATTAAGCGTACAGTTTCTGGAGCCTGGTGCCAGAGTTTGAAACCTCCTTTTTTTTTTTTTTTGGAGACAAGGTCTTACTCTGTCGCCCAGGCTGGAGTGCAGTGGCACGATCTCGGCTCACTGCAACCTCCACCTCCCAGGTTCAAGCGATTCTCCTGCCTCAGCCTCCCTAGTAGCTGGGATTACAGGCACCCCCCACTGTGCCCACCTAATTTTTGTATTTTTAGTAGAGACGGGGTTTTACCATGTTGGCCAGGCTGGTCTTGAACTTCTGACCTCAGGTGATCCACCCGCCTCAGCCTCCCAAAGTGCTAGGATTACAGGCTTCAACCACCACGCCCGGCCTAATTTTTTTTTTTTTTTTTTTTGAGACAGTTTCGCTCTTGTCACCCAGGTTAGACTGCAATGGCACAGTCTCGGCTCACCTCAAACTCCACCTCCCAGATTCAAGCGATTCTCCTGCCTCAGCCTCCGGAGTAGCTGGGATTACAGGCGTGCACCACGACGCCCAGATAATTTTTGTATTTTTAGTAGAGACGGGGTTTCACCATGTTGGTCAGACTGGTCTTGAACTCCCGACCTCAGGTGACCAGCCCTCCTTGGCCTCCCAAAGTGCTGGGATTACAGGCGTGAGCCACCACACCCGGCCCTCTTTAAAGTTCTAAAATGCTTCTAACCTTTAAGCTGTCCTTGTTCATTCCTGGGCTTAGGCCAAACTAACTTTGGGAAGGAATTCAGCTGATGGTTTGACTCTGAAACAAAACTGATAACAGCCCTTTCCCTAAAAGACCCACTTCTTGCCTGGGAACCAGTCTGCCTTTGCAGGACTAACAAATTAGCTACAAGATTAGAAATTACAGTTTAGGAGTCATGCAGCCTCTGGGTCCAAGAGTCTGAACGTCCCCAGATTGCTCCCAGAGGTAGCATCACTATTGTAAAACCTAAAATCAGTGCTTGAGATAGTTTGCAGACCCTGCACTCGATGGATCAGCTGACACCACCCAGACCATCAGACCAGACCAGTCAAGATCGCACCATTGCACTCCAGCCTGGGCAACAAGAGTGAAACCCCATCTCAGAAAAAAAAAAAAAAAAAAAAAAAAAAAAAAAGAAGGAAAAGAAAGAAACTCTACACTTCCTGTCCTTATTCCTGGGAATTTATTTAACAATTTAATTTCTCACCATACCCGAGGGAAGGCACAGCCTATTGCAAAGTCATTTTGCACGAAAGCAAACTGGGGCTCAGAGAACCAGGCCTCCAGTCAGTGCTGGTGTCATGGACAACCAGGCTGAGGGCCCATGGCAGAACCTGTTTTATGACATGGCTGCTCTCCCTGAAGCCAGTGAGGCACAAAGCCTAGGGGAGTGGACAAGGGACAGGAAGGTGTGGGTTTCCATCCTGCTGTGTGACCTTGGGGAAGTCACCTAACCTCTCTGAGCCTCATTTTTCTTTCTTTTTTCTTATTTATTTATTTTGAGACAGAGTCTCGCTCTGTCGCCCAGGCCAGAGTGCAGTGGCGCAATCTCAGCTCACTGCAAGCTCCGTCTCCCAGGTTCAAGTGATTCTCCTGCCTCAGCCTCCCGAGTAGCTGGGATTACAAGCGCGTGCCACCACGCCTGGCTAATTTTTGTATTTTTAATACAGATGGGGTTTCTCCATATTGGTCAGGATGGTCTCGAACTCCTGACCTCGTGATTTGCCCACCTCAGCTTCCCAAAGTGCTGGGATTACAGGCATGAGCCACCGTGCCCAGCCTTCTTGTTTTTAGTTTTTTTTTTTTTAATGAAAAAAAAAGTATTATTATGGCCGGGCACGGTGGCTCACGCCCGTAATCCCAGCACTTTGGGAGGCCAAGGTGGGTGGATCACCTGAGGTTAGGAGTTGGAGACCAGCCTGACCAACATGGCAAAACCTCATCTCTACTATAAATACAAAAATTAGCTGGGCATGGTGTCGCATGTGTGTAATCCCACCTACTTGGGAGGCTGAGGCAGGAGAATCGCTTGAACCCGGGAGGCAGAGGTTGCAGTGAGCTGAGATTGTGCCACTGCACCCCAGCCTGGGCAACAGAGAGAGACTCTGTCTCAAAAACAAAACAAAACAAAACAAAAACCAGAAGAGATGTGTGGTGCATGTAAAATACACATGAGATGAGATTTTGAAGACTGATTTTGAAAAAAAGAATGTAAAATGTCTTGGCCATAACTTTCATCAGAATTACTTGATTTGTATTTAAATATCATGGCATTTAGTTTATGGGGGATTTTTTTGTTTTAATTTATCTTTTTTCTTTTTTTCCAGCAAATGCTTAACATCCAAAGTTTATGGTTATATGTTTGAGATGGGATCTCATTCTGTCGCCCAGGCTGGGGTGCAGTGGCTCACTGCAGCCTCTACCTCCTGGGTTCAAGCCATCCTCCCACCTCAGCCTCCCAAGTAGCTGGGACTATATAGGTATGTGCCATCACGTTTGACTAATTTTTAAATTTTTTTGTAGAAGCCGGGTGCAGTGGCAAATGCCTGTAATCCCAGCACTTTGGGAGGCCGAGGCGGGCGGATCACCTGAGGTCAGGAGTTTGAGACCAGCCTGGCCGACATGGTGAAACTCCGTCTCTACCAAAAATACAAAATTAGCTGGGGGTGGTGGCGCGCGCCTGTAATCCCAGCTACTTGGGAGGCTGAGACAGGAAAATCTCTTGAACCTGGGAGACAGAGATTGCAATGAGCCAAGATTGTGCCACTGCACTCCAGCCTGGACGACAAAGTGAGACTCTGTCTAAAAAAAAAAAAAAAAAAAAGTTTTCTGTAGACACCGAATCTCACTATATATGTTCCCCAGGATGAACTTGAAGTCCTGGGCTCAAGTGATCCTCCCATCTCAGCCTCCCAAAGTGCTGGGATTACAGGTGTGAGCCACCGCGCCCGACCCATAGATGCTTGTTAAGGGAAAATCCCAGCACTTTAGGAGGCCAAGGAGGGTGGATCACCTGAAGTCAGGAGTTCGAGACCAGCCTGGCCAATATGGTGAAACCCCATCTCTACAAAAAATACAAAAATTAGCTGGGCTTTTTGGCTGGTGCTTGCAATCCTTGAGAGGCTGAGGCAGGAGAATCACTTGCCTGTAGTCTTAGCTACTTGGGAGGCTGAGGTGGGAGGATTTGCTTGAACCCAGGAGTTCAAGGCTGCAGTCAGCTATGATAGCGCCACTGTACTTCAACCTGGGCAACAGAGGGAGACCTGGTCCCTTAAAAAAAAAAAGACATTTCTCAAGAGGGCCTTCTACCTTCCTTCCTTCCCTTTGAAAAACCTAGGAGGGAGTTACAGATGTTATTGTTCACCAGCTGTATCCTAAGGAATTCAGGTTCGTCCTAAAGGAAAATGCCTTTTCCCCTTTCCTCACCTCGTTTTAGATACTCTCTGGAGGATTTTCCTCAGATTCTCGCTGAAACCTGACTCTCTCCTGGTAATGCAAATATTCCTGGGCTCTCTATGGGAAAGCTGCGGCCCTGTGCCTGACCCCAGGGCACTGGGAGAGAAAGTCTTTCCGGGCCGCAAGGTGTCATAGGAAAGGGGTCCCAATCCAAACCCCAAGAGAGGGCTCTTGGATCTCAGGCAAGTCTGTAAAGTGAAAGCAAGTTTTTAGGAAAGTAAAGGAATAAAAGAATGGCTACTCCATAGACAGAGCAGCCCCAAGGGCTGCTGGTTGCCCATTTTTATGGTTATTTCTTGATAATATGCTAAAGAAGGGGAGGATTATTCATGCCTCACCTTTTTAGAGCATCTGGGGTAACTTCCTGGTGTCGCCATGGCATCTGTAAACTGTCATGGTGTTACTGGTAGAAGGTGTCCAGGTTCTTGGCATCCCAAACAAAGAATTGGACAAAACACACCAACAAAGCAAAAGCAAGGAAGGCAGAAGCAGGGATTTTTTTTTTTTTTTTTTTTTTTTGAGACGGAGTCTTCCTCTGTCATCCAGGCTGGAGTGCAATGGTGCAATCTTGGCTCACCGCAACCTCCGCCTCCCGGGTTCAAGTGATTCTCGTGCCTCAGCCTTCCGAGCAGCTGAGATTATAGGCATGCACCCCCATGCCCGGCTAATTTTGTATTTTTTTTTAGTAGAGTCGGGGTTTCTCCATGTTGGTTAGGCTGGTCTCGAACTCCCAACCTCAGGTGAACTCCCGACCTCAGGTGATCCGGCTGCCTCGGCCTCCCAAAGTGCTGGGATTACAGGTGTGAGCCACCGCGCCCCAGCCAGAGGCAGGGATTTATTGAGAATGAAAGCACACTCCACAGTGTGGGAGTGGGCTGGAGCATAGGGGCTCAAAGTCCCCATTACAGAATTTTTCGGAGTTTAAATACCCTTTACTTGGGGTACGCCCTATGTAAATGGAGAGGATGAAGTAAGGTTACAGTCATTGACTTGGCTTCCGCCCTTCCTGCCATAGGTGAAGTGTGAATCGACCTTATATTCTTGGCCTCCAGACCTTGTTTTCCTGACTCAGTGACACTGATGGGAGTGTAGCAGTGAGGACAACCAGAGGTCACTATTGGGGCCATCTTGGTTTTGGTGGGTTTTGACTGGCTTCTTTTTGCAACCTGTTTTATCAGCAAGGTCTTTATGACCTGCATCTTGTGCTGACCTCCTATCTCATCCTGTGACTTAGAATGCCTTAATTGTCTGGGAACACAGCCCAGCAGGTCTTGGCCTTATTTTACCCAGCCCCTACACAAGATGGAGTCACTCTGGTTTAAACATCTCTGACAAAGGCATTCAGAGAGAAAGTCTGTCCATGTGAACATTGTCTCCTAAGCTTGCCGGGTGCTCCAATCACGGCCATGGGCAGGACGTGTGACAGCTGGTCTCCCCCTCCAAGACTCCCAGACTAGCAGGCAAATCTAACATTCCAGAAACCCTTAAATAGTTCATGAATGACACCTGAAATCTGCATTCTGCTGGGGGAGGCAGGGACGTGTCTTGGCCGTGGCTGGGAAGCAAGATTTTTAAAGCTCAGGCCTGAGCTGGAAGAAAAGACTGGAGGAAGAGGGGAGGGGATGGGCAGGATTCCAACTCTCCTGGGGGAGTTCCAGGCTGGGGCAACACCGGTTTTACTTTCTGAAGCGGAGGGAGGTCTCTGTCCATCTCCTGCTGACACCCACCCCACCTGGGCCTGGCTGCTACCCGAGGGTAATTATCTGCACCCAGCCATGCACCGCACCGCCGTTCCCACTGCCCATGACTCACTCGGCCCCCCTTGCGTTCTTTGTTCTTCGCCTCCTTCCCCCACCTCCCTGCAGGCTTCACACTTTGCAGGCCTAGGTCTTAGTCATCTCTGGGAACGGCTCCAATTTTCTTACAATGATAAGTAAATGGATCATTCTTTAGCTCGGCTAGAATGTCCCCATCTTTATTCTCAGAGCAATTCCTTGCACATAGCCGCATGCCCTCATCATAGGGATTTTGCCCTGGCTGCCACCTTGCCCTCCTTCTGGTTCCCTGTTTCATTTTCGAAGGTCTTTCTTCTTTGAGACAAGGTCTCACTCTGCCCCTAGGTGAAGGGCAGTGATGCGATCATAGTTTACTGTAGCCTCCAACTCCTGGGCCCAATCGATCCTCCAACCTTGGCCTCCTGAGTAGCTGGGACTGTAGGCACCCGGCTAATTTTTAAAAATTATTTTCAGAGACAGGGTCTTGGCCGGGTGCGGTGGCTCATGCCTGTAATCTCTGTACTTTAGGAGGCCGAGGTGGGTGGATCACCTGAGGTCCGGAGTTCCAGACCAGCCTGGCCAAAATGGTGAAACCCCGTCTATATTAAAAATACAAAAAAATTAGCCAGGCGTAGTGGTGCACGCTTGTAGTCTCAGCTACTCAGGAGACTGACGCAGGAGAATCACTTGAACCCAGGAGGTGGAGGTTGCAGTGAGCCGAAATTATGCCATTGCACTCCAGCCTGGGCGACAAGAACAAAACTCCATCTCAAAAACAAAACAAACAAACAAACAAAAAAACTCAAAAGAGACAGGTTCTTGCTGTGTTGCCCAGGCTGGTCTCGAACTCCTGACCTCAAGTGATCCTACTGCATTGGCCTCCCAAAATGCTGAGATGACAGTCGTGAGCCACCACACCTGGCCTCGTTTTGAAGGTCTTGAATCAAATAATTACCTTTTCCTTGAGGTATCTGGAATATATAGATAACATAACCGGTTAGGTCAGGGGTCGATCTTTAACCAGGCCCAGGGTGCGGTGCCGGGCTGTCTGCCTATGGATTTGATTTCTGCCATTTAGTTTTTACTTCTTCTTTCTTTGGAGGCAGAAATTGGGCATAATATGAGGGGTGGTGTCCTCCCTTACTATGATTGTGCCCCTGCACTCCAGCCTGGTCAACACAGCAAGACCCTGTCTCAAAAAGAAAAGGGATCTAACATCTTTTTAAATTTACTTATTTATTCTACCTGTAGACTCTTAACACTAGAATGTCAGGGATTTTTGCATGTTGGTTCATTCACTGATCCGTTGTATTCTCAGACCTGGGGCTTGTCAAGCATGCAGGCACTGAATGAACATCTGTTAAGGAAATGCCGAGTGAGCCAAGCATGGAATTTGTAAGGCTCTTGTGTCGTTTCGAACCCCGAGAGCAAGCCAACAAACAACATGAGCTGGTGTGGAGCAACACGCTGTTTTAATGTGCACCTGGGTGCAGACGGCTGAGGCCTAAAATGGCGTCAGCCCCAAGTGAGGACGGGGCAGGGGTTTTATAGTCTCCCGTAAACAGCAAGTGTCCCAGTCTGACGTAACTGCTACATGGTACCCGGATGGCCCGTCTCTTGATCTTCAGGGGCATGTGTCTTCCGGCCAGGGTAGATGTCTTCCAGCCAGGGTACGTGTCTTCCGGCCAGGGCAGGTGTCTTCCGGCCAAGGTAGCTGTCTTCCGGCCAGGGTAGATGTCTTCCGGCCAGGGTAGATGTCTTCCGGCCAGGGTAGGTGTCTTCCGGCCAGGGTAGATGTCTTCCGGCCAGGGTAGATGTCTTCCGGCCAGGGTACGTGTCTTCCGGCCAGGGTACATGTCTTCCGGCCATCTCTCTTCCTGCTTCTGCTATCTTGCTGGCGCATGCTGCTGGGGCAAGTAGCCTTGCACCTTGGGACTGGGCCTGAGAAGGGAGGAGTTATTCATCCCCCCAAGTTTATCCTCCCAAGTTTTCAGGCCGCGGGGAGAATCTTTCAGAATTATTCTGTCAATATTGTTTCTTCCCCCTTACCCTGGCTCTCTTCTCCCAATCCTGCCCTGGTCCCCACTCTGCAGATGAGTAGACACTGTGTCCCACCTTGTCCTGTGGGTGCCTGATACTTGACTCTGTCAGTGCTTGTGGCTGCTGTAGTTTTATTTATTTTCGAGACAGAGTCTCACTCTGTCACCCAGGTTGGAGTGCAGTGGCGCTATCTCGGCTCACCGCAACCTCTGCCTCCCAGGTTCAAGCGATTCTTCTGCCTCAACCTCCCGAGTAGCTGGGATTATCTAGGCGTGCACCACCATGCCCAGCTATTGTATTTTTAGTAGAGACAGGGTTTCACCATGTTGGCCAGGCTGGTATCAAACTCCTGACCTCAGGTGATCCCCCCACCTCGGCCTACCAAAGTGCTGGGATTACAGGTGCGAGCCACTGTGCCTGGCTTGTAGTTTAATTTTTATTTATTTATTTATTTATTTATTTATTTATTTTTGGAGATGAAGTCTTGCTCTGTCACCCAGTCTGGAGTGCAGTGGCACAATCTCGGCTCACTGCAACCCCCACCTCTCAGGTTCAAGCGATTCCCCTGCCTCAGCCTCCCAAGTAGCTGGGATTACAGGCGTGCACCATCATGCCTGGTTAATTTTTGTATTTTTAGTAGAGATGGGGTTTCGCCATGTTGGCCAAGCTGGTCTTGAACTCCTGGCCTTAAGTGATCTGCCTGCCTTGGCCTCCCAAACTGCTGGGATTACAGGCGTGAGCCACTGCACCAGGCCAATTAACTTCTCCTAATCTGTAACTAAGGTCTGAGTCCTGAAGACCTTCCTCTGAGCCTCAGTAAATTTACTTAATCTAGATGGGTCCAGGTGCCAGGGATAGTTACCCTTATCTTGTCTCCTGCTAAATTTTAGAGTCTAGAGAGTTTCTTCAGACTCCCAATAAAACTTGTTTAATCCTAAACAGGTCCATTAAGAATTCCTTCATTATCTTGTCATGCTTCAAGGCCCAGGAAAGGCCTGGGCAAAACTCTTGGTGTGCTTTTGTTACGTTCCAGCCTTTGTCTAAGGGCACTGGCGCTATCATCTTTAAATATTTAACTTAACCACGCAGTCAGTGCTGAAACAGTTGTTAGAGAGGCCTGTGTTAGTGAGACCTGGCCTGTCACAGTATCTCTCTGTCTCTCTTTCCCTCCCTCTCTCTTTTTCTTGCATAACTGCAGTATCTCTCTGTCTCTGTCTCTCTCTGTAGCGCTCCCTCTGTCTCTCTCTTTCATTTTTCTTTTCTTTTTATTTATTTATTTATTTATTTTTTGAGACGGAGTTTTGCTCTTGTTGCCCAGGCTGGAGTGCAATGGTGTGATCTCGGCTCACTACAATCTCCACCTCCCGGGTTCAAGCAATTCTCCTGCCTCAGCCTCCCAAATAGCTGGCATTACAGTCACACACCACCATACCTGGCTAATTTTTTTTTTTTTTTTTTTTTTTTGAGATGGAGTCTCGCTCTGTCGCCCAGGCTGGAGTGTAGTGGCGCAATCTCGGCTCACTGCAACCTCCACCTCCCAGGTTCAAGTGATTCTCCTGCCTCAGCCTGCCGAGTAGCTGGGATTACAGGCGTGCACCACCATGTCCAGCTAATTTTTGTATTTTTAGTAGGGACAGGGTTTCACCATGTTGGTCAGGCTGGTCTCGAACTCCTGACCTCTTGAACTGCCCGCCTCGGCCTCCCAAAGTGCTGGGATTACAGGTTTGAGCCACCACGCCTGGACTAATTTTTGTATTTTTAGTAGAGACGGGGTTTCGTCATGTTGGCCAGGCTGGTCTTGAACGCCTGACTTCAGGTGATCCACCTGCCTCAGACTCCCAAAGTGCTGGGATTACAGGCGTGAACCACCAGGTCCGGTCTTCTCTCTCTCTTTTTCTTGCATAACTTCAGTATCTCTCTGTGGACAACAGAAACCAGATGGCCCCAGTCCTGGGTTAGGTGGGAAGATATTCACCGAGCCCAGGGGCTGGGGTGGGAAATTTGGAAAACGTAAGGCCACTTTCAACCCTTTCCCAGTGTGCCTTAACTTGGGAAGCCCCTGGGCTATAGGCTTCTGGCTCCCCAGTGGCAAAAGGCACTGAGGTCAGGTGGGGAAAGGGACCAGGATTAAGCAAAATGTCTGTGCTAGGCGGGAGATGCTGTCTGTGAAAAGTGCCCGAGGGACTGGAGCACCTGAGACGTCCTCGCTGCGTGTTTCTTCTGCCCTCGTGTGTCTCCATTGGGAACTGCAGTAACCCAAGTCTAGGTTTTTGTTGTTTTTTGAGATGGAGTCTCTCTCTGCCGCCCAGGCTGGAGTGCAATGGTGTGATCTTGGCTCATTGCAACCTCCACCTCCTGGGTTCAAGCGATTCGCCTGCCTCAACCTGCCGAGTAGCTGGGATTACAGGTGCCCGCCACCACGCCTGGTGAATTTCTGTATTTTTAGTAGAGATGGAGTTTTGCCATGTTGGCCAGGCTGGTCCCAAACTGCTGACCTCAGGTAATCTGCCCGCCTCGGCCTCCCAAAGTGCTGGGATTACAGATGTGAGCCACCACACCCGGCCTTAAGTTTATTATTATTATTATTATTTTAGACAGCATCTTGCTCTGTCACCCAGGCTGGAGTACAGTGGTGCAATTATGGCTCATTGTAGCCTGGACCTCCCGGCCTCTGCTGATCCTCTTTCCTCAGCCTCCCAGGTAGTTGAGACTACAGGTGTACACCACCAGGCCTGGCTACTTTTTTTTTCTTTTTTGGTAGAGATGGGATCTCACTATGTTGCCCAGGCTGGTCTTAACCTCCTGGGCTCAAGCAATCTACCCACCTCTGCTGGGCATGGTGGCTCATGCCTGTAGAGCCAGCACTTTAGGAAACCTTTATTTCTTAACACAGAGCAAGTTGGAGATGTTTTTGTTTGGCTGACAGAATCTTAAGAGATTTATTGGTGCCTGAGGCATTTCTCATTTCACAGGGGAGGGAGGGGTCTAAATAAATGCTTCAGCTCAAGCTGGATACAGAGGGAGGGATTTTCCCAAATTTCTAGCAGCCCCCAGGTTGTAATAACTTCCCAAGTCTCTGGCAATTCCAGCCTTCTGTCAATTAGCACTGTAATCACCTGCGTGCCTATGGCAAGAGAGTTTAGGGAACTTGCAAGAAGAGAGAGCTGTAGTTTCGCTTTCCCATGGTTTCTGGTTACTCCAAAAAGGCCCTGACCAGAATCATGGACTCTCCATGGCAAACTCTCATCTTATTTTATATTTATTTGTTTATTTATTTATTTTTTTATTTTTGAGATGGAGTTTTGTTCTTGTTGCCCAGGCTGGAGCGCGATGGCATGATCTTGGCTCATCACAACCTCCACCTCCCGGGTTCAAGCAGTTTTCCTGCCTCAGCCTCCCGAGTAGCTGGGACTATAAGCATGCACCACCATGCCCTGCTAATTTTGTATTTTTAGTAGAGACGGGGTTTCCCCATGTTGGTCATGGCTGGTCTCGAACTCCCAACCTCAGGTGATCCACCTGCCTCGGCCTCCCAAACTGCTGGGATTACAGGCGTGAGCCACTGCACCTGGCCTATTTTATTTTTTATGTATTTTATTTTTTGAGATGGAGTCTCGCTCTGTTGCCCAGGCTGGAGTGTAGTGACGTGATCTTGGCTCACCGCAACCTCTGCCTCCTAGGTTCAAGCGATTCTCCTGCCTCAGCCTCCCGAGTAGCTGGGACTACAGGTGTGCACCACCATGTCTGGCTGATTTTTTTGTATTTTTAGTAGAGACGAGGTTTCACCATCTTGGCCAGGCTGCTCTTGAACTCCTGACCTCGTGATCCAGCCGCCTCAGCCTCCCAAAGTGCTGGGATTACAGGCATGAGCCATTGCGCCCAGGCTTACTTTATTTTTTTAGTTTAATTTTTTTTTTTTGAGACAAGGGTCTTGCTATGTTGCCCAGGCTGGAGCACAGTGTTTATTCACAAGCACAATCATTGCACACTACAGCCTTGAACTTGGTCTCAAGCAATCCTCCCAACTTCCAATTATCTTAAATTCTGTTTTTGTCTTTGTTTTTGAAATGGAGTCTCTCTCTGTAGCCCAGGCTGGAGTGCAGTGGTGGGATCTTGGCTCCCTGCAACCCCCGCCTCCCGGGTTCAAGTGATTCTCCTGCCTCAGCCTCCCAAGTAAGTGGGATTATAGGTGCGCACCACCTCGCCTGGCAAATTTTTGTATTTTTAGTAGAGACCGGGTTTCACCACCTTGGCCAGGCTGGTCTGAAACTCCTGATCTCAGGTGATCCGCCTGCCTCTGCCTCCCAAAGTGCTGGGATTACAGGTGTGAGCCACCGTGCCACCTGGCCATTCTTTTTTTTTTTTTTTTTGCCAGAGTCCTGCTCTGTCACCCAAGCTGGAGTGTGGTGGCACCATCTCAGCTCACTGCAATCTTCGACTCCCGGGTTCAAGTGATTCTCTTGCCTCAGCCTCCGAAGTAACTGGGATTACAGATGCCCACCACCACACCCAGTTAATTTTTGTATTTTAGTAGAGATGCGGTTTTACCATGTTGGCCAGTCTGGTCTCTAACTCCCGATCTCAAATGATCCACCTGCCTTGGCCTCCCAAAGTTCTGGGATTGCAGGCATGAGCCACCATCCCCGGTCAAATTCTGTGTTTCATTCACCAGAATAGTCACCAGAAAGCAGATTTTCTTCGTCTTTCCAACCTGTGTACTTACTTATAGAAATCTACAGCAGGGCCACATCTGGAGGTCTGTTTGTTCACCTGAGAAATTAAAATTTAATTCTCTTGGAAGAAAAGTAACACAAATAAATCAGAGGTTTGATTATTCAAAGCCATTCTGCTTAATATCATGTCAGCTTGAGGCCGGGCACTGTGGCTCATGGCTGCTTTTGCTTTTGCTTTGTTGGTGTGTTTTGTCCAATTCTTTGTTTGGGAATCCAAGAACCTGAACACCTTCTACCAGTAACACCATGACAGTTTACAGATGCCATGGCGACATCAGGAAGTTACCCCAGATGCTCTAAAAAGGTGAGGCATGAATAATCCTCCCCTTGTTTAGCATATCATCAAGAAATAACCATGAAAATGGGCAACCAGCAGCCCTCGGGGCTTCTCTGTCTATGGAGTAGTCATTCTTTTATTCCTTTGCTTTCCTAAAAACTTGTTTTCACTTTGTGGACTTGCCTGAGATCCAAGAGCCCTCTCTTGGGATTTGGATTGGACCCCTTTCCTGTAACACCTTGGGGTCAGGAAAGGCTTTCTCTCCCAGTGCCTTGGGGTCAGGCACAGGGCCACAGCTTCCCCATAGAGAGCCCAGGAATGTTTGCATTATCAGGGATAAGAGATGGCCTTGCTTCCGGTTTGAAGGCTCACCAGCATCTTGGGGATGGTGTTGGTGGCCAGACAGAAATCAATCAGGGACAGGTTGGCCAGGAAGAAGTACATGGGGGTGTGGAAGTGGGAGTCTATGCTGATGGCCAGGATGATGAGCAGGTTCCCCAGGACTGTACCAGGTACATGCAGAGGAACAGAGAAAAGAGAAGTGTTTCCTGCTCCGGCTTTTCTGACAGTCCCAGGAGGATGAATTGAGATGCACTGGTTTGGTTTCCTGGTTCCATGGGTGTGATTCCTCTGGAAGTATGGAAAGGGGAGGTTATAGGAATGCCAGGGAGATGGTTTTGGAAGGTTAGATGAACTCTAACCTTTAATTTTAACCTTTAACTTTAGAGACCCTGTCTCTAAAATATAAATATTATATATGCTATAATATATATATTATTTTTCAGAGACAAGATCTTGCTCTGTCACCCAGGATGGAGTGCAGTGGTGCAATCATAGCTCATTGCAACCTTGAACTCCTGGACTCAAGCCATCCTCCTGCCACAGCCTCTCTAGTAGCAGGGTCTACAGTCACACATCACCATGCCTGGCCTATTTATCTTCTTTTTTGGGGGTGGAGAGAGGGTTTTGCTATCTTGTCCAGGCTGGCCTTGAACTCCTGGGCTCAAGCGATCCTCCCATCTAGGACTTCCGAAGCTCTGCGATTGCAGGTGTGAGCCACCACACTTGGCCTGACAACAGCTTATATATAGGTTGCACCTTGAACCATGGATGAAATGTTTACAGCAACTCATCTTCTTCTTTTTTTATTAATTAAAAAATTTTAGGTTGGACGTGGTGGCTCACGGCTGTAATCCCAGCACTTT